>NW_019805502.1:0-230843 GCF_000001405.40 Homo sapiens
TTCCCTGAGTAGCTAAGGAACACTATGTAAATCACTTTCCATCCCACCTGCCAAATGGCACAGTAATGCCCACCCCACCTTCCTCGCCAGAGTAATGTAAGGCTCCACTGGAATCATATGATTTGAAAAGGATTTGAAGAGTCAAAATAGTGACTCAAATGGAAATTTTTCAGATGACTCATTCTTCTTATACCCTAGTACCTTTTAACTATCTTTTGATGGCACCACAACACTTTCTGGGCCTCTGTCTTATGATAGTAGTGAGAGTGAGCCTTGTTTCTTTCAGTGGTTTGGTGTCCTGGAAAGAACCAGGGGCTAAATATCATAAGACCAACCATTACTAATTGTGTGACCATGAAAACACAGTTAACCTTATGGAAATTGTCAATGCCCACTAGCCAAAGACCATCAGGAAAATATCTGTAGTCGACCCAGGTGGGTTTATTACTCTTTGTAGCAATAGAGAGCACACACCATGAGAAATTATGGGCATCTGAGTAAGAGAATGTTAGAAAGAACCTATTATAGCATTTGGGCCCTGGATGGGTGATATGGGGAAGGGTCTAAGGAAATAAAGGTTTACTTAAGATTGAATGCTATCAGAAAGTAGAGACAAGTCTATGATTGGCAATCTCAATAAATTATTTCTATAGTGAGAATGAGAATCTGCAACTAGTAAAAAAAGTGGAATGCATTCATTCTACCCAAGAGAGGGTATGTTTGATGTTTCAGGGTGACACAGGGGCCTTGTTTTTGTCAGTGTTTAGACAAAATTATGAAGTTGGCTGTGCTTTGTCTCATTTTGTCTTGGTCTCAGAGTAACCTAGTTGGGGGTTTGTATACTTTGAGATTGTTTATGTCCAATAGGAGAGTAACATGGCCTAGCTGCGAGTGCCAGACCAGCTTTTGGATATTAGAAGTTGCTCTTTTCTCTTTCTCAAAAATCTGTTTAACTACTTGTTGACCTTGAATCTCAGCTACCTCATCTAGAAAACATAAATAACAACCCTTAGCCTTGTTATCGGGGATCAAAGTGGCAACACTTATGAAATGCTTTGTCAACTCTGAAGTTGTTTGATAAATATGTAGCTCCTTTGTCCAGCTCTAGTCTCCAGGATCTAGATCTGTGGACTTTCTTGAATTTTCCTGGGCACTGTTAGGCTGTCACCCCTTAGAACAGAAATCTCACCTATAGCTTCATAGCTTGAGTCCTCCAAGGAAGCTGTTCTTGAACCTTTCTGATAAACCTCTTCACAGATGGAGCCAGCCAGTACTCTGCACTTGTTAGTGAATTATCTCCCTGACCAGCTAGAGCTGAGCTCTCTGGTAGGGCAGAATCTGGCAAGTCTGAATCCACCATCTCACACAATGCAGTCTGATAGTGATGACTGGCTTATATTTGGTTAATAAATAATTACAGACTCTGAATTAAAACATCATGGGATATTAGATTTGGAAAACAAACATATCTTTGACCAAACCTCTTATTTTATAGTTGAGCAAATTAAGGATCAGAGAAGGGACGACCTCTTGAACTTATTTTCTGTGGTCTTTTCACCACAGTCACCCCAAACTGCATAAACCACAAAGACACAGGACTGGGTTTGACACAGTTCCTTTGCTTCTAGATCCTGACCTCAGCCAGTTGAGGACTTTTACACTTAAGTCCATATTTTCTTTCTTTCTTCTGCTGATGTCTTGGGCATAGTTTTTGTTGATCCAATTATATGGACTATAAGCTCCTCATAGGAATAGACTGACTGGGAACAAAATTTGTATCTTAATTCAAGTAACATTTGGGAATAACACTTTTTTGTTGTACCAAACCTCCTTCAACTCCGGGGGTTGGGGGGCAGGGGAACAGGGTGGTGAGTGGCACCAGGTTTGAGAGGCCAAATAAGAGATCCACAGCCTGCAAATGAGACATGGGGTTTTGTGGGGGACATACAGGCAGGAGCGAGAGTCCAGTGGCAGCGGGCTGGACAGGAGAACCATTTTACATGCAGTCCAGTGGTAGCAGGCTGGACAGGAGAACTGCACCACCCAGGGACAATGGGCTGGGCTGAAAAACTACAACTGCTTGCAAAAAACATGCAGTTTATATAACATTTCCGCTTAGCACCCTCCCCCTAACAGCTTCTACCTGGCAACCTTCATTCAACCCAATATTCAGGGCCTCAATCTCCTGTACAATTGTGTTCTACAGGATAGGCCAGGGGCTCAGATGATACTCATAGACAAGGGATGGATTTATGGTTGGCCACTCCCAGATTCTCTAGCTCTGAACTCTGAATACACACATTCAGTGCATCTGCCATATAGGGTCATTCTCAGAGTATGCTTAAGTTATTGCTATCAGGTGTGTTTACCATACAAATACTTGTGCTAGATGTTGGGAATACATATAGGGAGGAACTTAATATAAGCTCTAGTTTCACAGAGCTTAGACTTTTACAGAAAGTTAGTACATGGCAGAATCTATTGAGCAGTATAATGGGGGTCAAGGACAATGGGATTTTATTCTGTTTGAAAATATAGGGGAAGACTTCATGCAAAATAGGCCTGTATGTTAGCATTAGTCTCCATGACTTGGTCTGCAATACATTTAGCCACCAGGTTATGTCTCTCTGACTCTTCTGTAGTACTTAACTTTCTCCACCCCACTTTTGTTACCTGGAGAATAAGGGATTTCCTATCCTGAATTATAGAAAAGAATTCTATGCCCTTATGAATCAAAGTGAGTTTAAGGCTATTGTTATTAGTCCCTGAAATAGCTGTATCTTAGGCTGAATCTCTCTATAAAGAACTTAGAAAACTTCTAGACACTTGGTAGGCACTTGCTAAATACTTCTAATTGACACCAATGTCTTCAGATGTCTCTTTTTTACTTCACGTAGCTCTTTTGAAAACAGCTGTAGATATCCCTTTTTTCTATGACCATGCCATTCATGGGCAGTATATGGGAGAGGAAGAGTTTACTTTAGAACTGCAAGTCAAGTTTAAAATTATCTAGTCCAACAATAGTAAGTAGTTTTAATCTCGAAGAAAAGCTCTATTTGGTTGATATTGGTTGTCTCCAATGCAGTGTTGAGAAGGATTCTAAGTGTTGTTCAGTGGGAAAGAATGTTGCCATCTAACAGCAATATGTGCTATGGGAACAGACTGCTTGGCTTCATTTGTGCTGCACATTTGCCTGCCCTGAGGTATTTCAACTGTTATATTTGACAGAAAAGCAAACTAAAAACCAGAGAAGAAAAATGACTTTCCCAAGATCACAGAATGGGTTAGCGAGAAAAGCAGGACCAAGACCTAGGTCTCCTGATTCAAATACAGTGCTTTTCCCATAATCCCATTCAGCTCCCAGAAGCACCAGGGAGATTCTATTCAGTGATGCGCAGAAAATGGAAGCAACTGGCCTACTGTATACTAAAACAGCTCAGCTCCAGGTGGGAAACTTAGTGACCCTATGGAATCTCCTTCAGCCTAAGGCATTTCAGAATTCCACCAAGCTCATAGAATCCCAAAGGCTGAGTTTAGATGGTCTTAGAGATTATCCAGAGTAACCCACTCAGCCCATAGAATCCCAGAGGCTGTTTAGATGGTCTTAGAGATTACCCAGAGCAACCACTCACCAGTACAAAGTCTTGTCTACAGGTTTTCTGATAGCCCTCAACATTTTCATGTAGGCAATATTTACATGTGTTAGGCTCTCCCCTCCCTTCCCTTCTCTACTTCTCCCTTGTCTCCTGGGGTTCCCCTCACAGGCCTCCAGGTGTTCATATCCTCATGATGCTCTGGATCCAATTAGACCTGCCACCCAGGCTTAATCTTGCCCCAAGTTGTTCCATGTGTCAGTTTCTAAACCACCATCCCAGTGGCATGTGCTAGGAGAGCAATCTGAAAAATAACCTTGCATGGCTGCCCTGGGCTCTGCTTGCCTGGGCTTCTTTATTTCCTCCACTTCTGAATGCATTGGTTCCCTCCTTTCTCTTCCCTGCACCCCCAAGAAGCCCCTGACAGTGATGTGAGGTGAGAAGGATGAGTGAGGTTAATCTGAAATTCATTTTCAGGATGGATTTGAAGAGAAAGACCAATATCAAGGATAAATCCCCAGAAAATGAACAAGTTTAGAGAGTCAAGGAAGGTCCCTGGGTTGGGCAGAGGGGAAAAGAGTTGCTTTTAGATGCAAGACATGCTAGCATAGGCACTACACAGGAAAATAGAGATTGGAGGTAAATGGCATATGTGTGAAAATGAGAGAGCTAGGACTAGAAGTCTTTGTGCTTTCTCTTAAACCACTAGGACCTAACCCACTGCATTAAAAGGAGGAGTGAGAACAAGTGAGGGGGCCACACAGACCCTCTCCTCTGGTTACTATGAACTGGGCTCACCTCCCGCAGTTGGTGATTTCACCTTCAAAGTGAATAGCAGCATGGCATTGTGGAAAGCACCCTCCCTGGACCAGTCTGGGAATCCATGAACAAATTCTCTTGCTGTAAAATGAAAAGGTCAGAACTTTGCTCCCTAAAGAGCTTCCTGGCTCTAAGATTTTCTTTGTTTCTCAGTAGGAATAAGCCCACCCACCTCATAAGGGAAATATTTCTCAATTTCTTAGGGCTGCAGGGGACACCCCTGAGTCACCCCCAACCTGCCTTAGCCTGAATCTGAGTAAAGGAAGGGATTTATGATCTAATGTTAGGCACTGCTGCCCTCTGCTGGATGGTATGTAGCCAACTACCCCCGCCCCCAACCAAAAGGTATTCAGTGCCTCTCCCCCCGACAACCCCCAGCTGTCCAGGGGCTGCCCTCGCATTGCCCCCACAGTGGTGACCTGTCTTGCATCTCATGTTGCAAGTGGAAAGCCACAAAAAAACTGAGGACCCAGGAGGGTATGTGTATGTGTGATTGTTGTGGGGAGATGGGAAGTGAGTGTAAATCCAAATAGCCAATTGCTGTCAATTATGTGAAAGTTCCTCTATGACTTCAGTGAGACCTTAACCAAGGTCCCACTCAGCTGCAAACCATACACAGCTTTCCAGCATGATGGCACCTTCAAGTAAAGATGAACAGGGAGCTTTTAAGCTTCTCCTGCCTTTTATCATCGATGAGCTAAAACGCAGAAACAAAATGGGATAGTTGGATGTCGGGAGAACATCAGGATATTGTAATTGTCCTCCTCAGAGATGAAAAGGGAAGCTGAAAAACATCTGCACACTGAAATCTGCTCCAATGCACTAAGTGGGCCAAGAAAACCTGCAACCGCGAAGTGGGGCTGATTTACTGCTCTAATCACCAGCATCCAATCCGAAGCCAGACATTATCTTAAAGTACACACCACTTCCAGGTGGCGTGCAGCAAATGTTTGATTAGCACTACCAAATTCCCTGCAGGTTGATAACGCTTTCGAGTGTGCAGGAATCACAGGACCCCACACTAAGGGAGTTGGGCTGCTGCAAGCTCCACAGCAAGGTGTTTCCCTCTGGGTCAAAATCTTCCTAAGAAACACATCTCAGCCCTTCTTCCCAGGGTCTGAGACACGGGATTCAAATCAGCAGAAAGTAGAACTGAGCAGAGGAGAGAGGAGATGGATTTAGTAAGTGAGGAGAAACCAGGTTGTTTCTAGAGAGGATTGAAAACACAATAGAGGGAGAGTAGGAGATTAGTAAGACCCGTATAATATTCAATATATGTCAGGTGCTGAATATTTTATATCTCATTAATTCTCCCATTATAGTACATGGTTGCCACCACTATCTTCCTATTCTGCAAATGAAAGAACTGAGGTGTAAGTGACTTGCTCAAGATGTCTCAGCTATAAAATTATTATTGTATTATTTAAATTGGACTGACATTGATTAGGACTGACTTGAAAACCTTCAAAGTACACGGTTTGAAAGAATAGGGGATCAGATGAGGCAATACAGATGTTAGGGTATTCCAGGGGTTATATAGAAAAGTAAGAGAAAGAACCTAAGTCAGTTGATAGCATCAGAAAAGATGGAAATAAAGTGGGCTTGAAGCAGCTGAAGCTTTCACTGAGCCCCCACCATGTCCCCAGGGTAGGGTTAAGGACTGTGGGTGTGGGTGAAGCAGAAAACACAATGACTGCCCACAGGAGCTTAGGGTCTATTTGAAGGTTGTTTGGGCCAGAAATAAGAGATGCTGTGGGGTTCAGAGACGAGGGCTATGTTTGACGAACAAGGATGATTCAAATCAGCAGAGAGAAGAGCATAAGCCAAGTTATGGAGGTGAAAGTGATGGTGGTGAGTTATTCTGGGGTAAGTGAGGAGTCCCAGATGAGAAGCTACATCTGTCTAGCTGGAGTTGGTTCAAAAATTGCACCTGGAATCTACTTCTGGCTGGCTTTAAAACCCAAACTGAAGGGTCAAATGTCTCATGGAAATTTCATTTCTAAAACCCATAGATAGGGAAGGCCAGGCCAGTACAAGAACTCAGTTTTTGTGGCTTTTTGGGAGCTGGAACTCTGATTTCTGCAGTATCTTCTAGAACTCAAAGACCGCAGGAGGGTCTTGCAAAACCAAAGCCAGCCATAAGCTTGTAGTCTGAAGGCACACGGCGCCCCCTAATGGACCCAAGCATTCCCTCTGTACCTGGATTCTCTCTGTTCTCCACTATGGCTACCTGGCTGGGTACCATCCCGAAAAGATTTGCTTCCTGCCCCATGGCTGTGGGCAGACCAGCATTAGCAGATTAACTGAGTCCTGCTAACACATAGCGCAGACTCCTCCTCCACTCAACAGCTGCTAAGTTCCCTGCTTTCAGAATTAGAAGAACATCATGGTTGAGAGCATAGACTTTGGGGCCAGGCCGGAATTTGAGCCTCTGCAGTAGTGCCAACTGGCTGTGGGACCTCAAACTGTTGATTAACCTCCAAAAGACTCAGTTTCCTCAACTGTAGAATTGAGATGCTGATAGTATCTACCTCCCAGGGCTGTTGTGAAGATGATGTTGATGATTTGTGTAAACCACTTAGCACATAACCAGGCACATGGTGAGCACAGGCAGTAAATGGCAGCTTGTTATTATTAGAATAATTGTGATTCAGTCTGAATTACTCACTATGACACTCTGTGAATATTAACTTTATCTCCCTCTAGACCTTGGCTTAAACTGTTTCTGGAGTATTCTTTTCTGAGTTACTCTTTTTCTCTAAACTGGGCTCAGCCCAGTTGCTACTACTTCCATTGGGCCCTCACAGATATTCTACTCATTGTGGAAATCTCTCTCCATAAGAATTTTGCTGTATCTCCCTTACAACTTCTGTATGTTACAACCATGTATGGCCATCTCTTTTTTCTGTCTTAAAAGGGTATGCTACTTATATCAGTCAAAATAGGCAAGGTTCTGCTACAGCGTCAAGCAACCCCGTATTTCAAAGTATTAAACCCATAGCTTGCCACAACTCCTCAGCCAGAATTAATTCTATGCCCTGCCCCCCAAACAAGGAGGCAGAAAATGTAACCCTCCCACATCACCATGTCACTCCCACAAGTAAGGAGAAACAGATATTTATGAGAATGACTGATGGTTACCACACCCTGGAAAGCAAGGGCAGTCTCTAATTCTAAGTCTCCCTAGCAGTGTGCTTCATAGGCAGTAAATGCACACTATAAATCTTTGGTGAATAACTGATAGGATATATTAGTTCACAATTATGTTATCTCTCTCAATCAATATCATATTTTGAAATACATATCCAGATCAAAAATTTCTTAATGACTGCTAGTAGAAATTTCAGGTATCCTCAGGGCAAGTCAGAAGGGATGGCTTTGGGGACAGGGTCGAACTTTATTTCTCTCATGTCCACATCATGTCTCTTCGAATGTAGAAAGTTGTATGAGCTATTATGACAATCAACTGAGAAGGATTATTTGCCTTCAGGAAACTGATTCACACACTAAACAGCATTTACACATGAAACAGCTGGAAGAAAATTGAGGCTATTTGTCAAAAATGCATGAAAGCCGGTATAGGCTTTGTCCATAGGGCAGACTGAAAAGTGGGGGAATCTCTCATGAGGTCAGGTTATGTGCAAAGAGGTCATTTTTGAGGTCAGGTTATGTGCAAAGGAGGTCATTATTTAAAGGCTGTATACAGCTTGGGAAGGCTCAAAGGAGGATGAAGTCCTGGATTGCCCTAAGCTCACCTTGCTCATATCTTTTTTTTTTTTTTTTTTTTTTTTTTTTTTGAGACGGAGTCTCACTGTGTGCCCAGGCTGGAGTGCAGTGGCGAGATCTCGGCTCACTGCAAGCTCCGCCTCCTGGGTTCACGCCATTCTCCTGCCTCAGCCTCCCTACAGGTGCCTGCCAACACGCCCGGCTAATTTTTTGTATTTTTAGTAGAGATGGGGTCTCACCATGTTAGCCAGGTTAGTCTCGATCTCCTGACCTCGTGATCCACCTGCCTTGGCCTCCCAAAGTGCTGGGATTACAGGCATGAGCCACCGCGCCCGGCTGCTCATATCTTAAATAAACCAGGCACCTGAAATGAAGTCTTGCTTTACTGTGGCTGGAAAACAATTTCACTCCTCAGCTCTTGACAGCAAGAGCTCTTATAATAAAAGACAGGGCATAGGCTGGTTGGATAGCATCTTCCATTCCTAGATACCCTTCCTGGTATCTAGGGCTATTTTTCGTCTGTTCTCTTCAGTGCCCCAAGATTGCGAATACCTGGGGTTGAAGATTTTTATATATTGAGATGCTGAATCTCTAATCCTTTCTCTCTGCCACCCGCCCTTATATTCCCCAAGAGAACACTTAAGAATAGGAATTCCACTCCATGTTTCTCATCCCAGATACCAACTAGACAGAAGGGCATATTGGCACTTGCATGAAGAAGAGGTACAAACTCTTCACAAGCTCCTCAATGTGACCTATGAAGACAGGAGGTCGCTGAAGGCCACAGGTGCACACAAATACGCATTTGTGAGTGATAGGATGATAAAGCAAAGGAATTATGCTTCCAAATGTGGATTGGCTTCTTCAAAGAAGGCACATTGATGGGCTAGCATCTAGTGAAGATTTTAAAATATTGAATAAATAAGGGAAAATAGAAGTTAAATATTCATATATAAATATGTGCATAAAAATAGAGACAGTAATCTGGCATGGATGAGAATTTGCATTAACCCTTTGAGAGGCAAAACCTTTTGATTTCAAATCATTTTGATGTAAATTTTCATAAAATGTATGACACCTGTGCAAGCCCTGGTATGTAGAGAAAACTGACCATTTTGAGATTATGTGCTGGTGATAAAAAGCACCTTTCTGACCAGCTATTGGGCTGGCTATGGAAGCTCACAGCTTGAGTGATGGGATGGAACATGTGCTAATTGCAAGACAAGTTTGCGACTTGTTTTCCTGACTAAATTTGCTTATTGGTTTGATGCTCTATAATTTCTCTATCTCATAAATATGGACTACAGAATCCATCTACATCATTTTTGGAGCCAAGTAACATAGCTCTCTCTCTCCAAAAGTAATGGTCAATCCAGTGGTCAAATGAGGCTTTTCCAAAAGGATTGTCTCATTATTCATCAAGTCATACTATTTTCTCATAATCAAGAGCTGACCATTCTTGCAGTATAAAAAGCATTATTCTTATAGTTACTTCAGGATCCCAAATCAACTTCAACCAGCCTTCTTTCTTTCTTGGATTAAGTTAATAGGTTAAAAAGTGTGACATTTTAGGAATTTTCTACCAAAGGTTCTTAAAGAGTTGTTCAACTAAAGAGCTAAAAGGTGCTTTATATTTGAGAATATTTGCTTACAGGTGCCAGAGGCAATATAGGCTTAGGCAAAATAAGAAAATAGTTAAAGTCTGACATGAACTTGATGGGTCTCTCTACCCTATTTCTCTCCTCTTGTCCCACACTCACCCCCACTCCAAAATATCTGTGAATTAAATCCCACACCCACTGTAAGGAGTAAAAACGTTGACCCTGAAAAAAGATCTTTGCATTTTGATGGATATCCAAACTTTAATCTTCGAGAATGTAACTGTAGCACGTAAAAGTCCCATTGGGATATCTCTGTACCTTCCTCCTTCCTCTCAATTTTGCTAGAATGAAACCTAAAACTGCTCCAAATAAATAAAATGAAAAGTGAACCTAAAACTGCCCTAAAAATATAAAGTTAAAATCTCGTTGGTATTTGGGGGAGAATTTGAGAGGCTGAAAAGGCTTTGCCATAGGCCCTGGAACTGCAGAACATAGGGAATGCTTATTCTGCCTGCACGCAAGGCTGCAGACAGGACAAAAATCGACACGAGCACTGGGAGAAAACCAAGTTCTGAGACTGGCTCTGATATGTCCAGGTGGTACCAACAGGAGACCTTCATTTGTCCTGCTTCCTCTGGTCCTGAGCACCATCTTGTCACTGGGCTTCATGAAGCAACCAGTGAACAATCTCAGGAGTATCTAATCACTTCCTCAGTGCTTGTAGGGCTCCAAGAATGGGACACTCAGGGTAAACTGAGTGATCTTCCCATATGCTAAGCTTTATGGTAGAAATGGTGCTCCACTGTGCTGTTTACCAGTGTTGTCTGCCCCACGCCCTAGTAGGTGAATTTATTCATTTATCATTAAACAAATATTCACTGAGCACCTAATAAGTACCAGATATTGTTCTGCTAGTAAACAGAGACACAAAAATCTTATCCTAATGGAGCCTATATTTTATTACCTGAGAGAATAATAAAAGATGCACACATAAGAGAGGGTATATATAAAGTGTTAGGAGGTGAGGGTGAATACGGAAGGGGTACAATTTCAGATGGGATGGTCAGGTCTGAAAAATCTAAAGGGAATGATCACAATTGCTACCTGTCATGCAATGGCTGCTGGAGCCAGGCACCAAGCTGCGCACCTTTCACCCAGATCGTATAATGCTCACAATAACCAGGTGAGACACTCAATATTGTTGTTGTTGTTTTGCCATAAAATTATTTCTTTTTAAGTTGCTAGTAATCAGCACATTTATTTTAATACAGACACATCATTTTCACTGTAAGTATTTATGATGTTTTATGTTTTTTTATTATACTTTAAGTTTTAGGGTACATGTGCACAATGTGCAGGTTTGTTACAGATGTATACATGTGCCATGTTGGTGTGCTGCATCCATTAACTCGTCATTTAACATTAGGTATATCTCCTAATGCTCTCCCTCCCCCCTCCACCCACCCCACAACAGGCCCTGGTGTGTGATGTTCCCCTTCCTGTGTCCATGTGTTCTCATTGTTCAATTCCCACCTATGAGAACATGTGGTGTTTGGTTTTTTGTCCCTGAGATAGTTTGCTGAGAATGATGGTTTCCAGCTTCATCCATGTCCCTACAAAGTACATGAACTCATCATTTTTTATGGCTGCATAGTATTCCATGGTGTATATGTGCCACACTTTCTTAATCCAGTCTATCATTGTTGGACATTTGGCTTAGTTCCAAGTCTTTGCTATTGTGAATAGTGCCGCAATAAACATACGTATGCATGTGTCTTTAAAGCAGCATGATTTATAATCCTTTGGGTATATACCCAGTAATGGGATGGCTGGGTCAAATGGTATTTCTAGTTCTAGATCCCTGAGGAATCGCCCCACTGACTTCCACAATGGTTGAACTAGTTTACAGTCCCACCAACAGTGTAAAAGTGTTCCTATTTCTCCACATCCTCTCCAGCACCTGTTGTTTCCTGACTTTTTAATGATCACCATTCTAACTGGTGTGAGATGGTATCTCATTGTGGTTTTGATTTGCATCTCTCTGATGGCCAGTGATGATGAGCATTTTTTCATGTGTCTTTTGGCTGTATAAATGTCTTCTTTTGAGAAGTGTCTGTTCATATCCTTCGCCCACTTTTTGATGGGGTTGTTTGTTTATTTCTTGTACATTTGTTTGAGTTCATTGTAGATTCTGGATACTAGCCGTTTGTCAGATGAGTAGATTGCAAACATTTTCTCCCATTTTGTGGGTTGCCTGTTCACTCTGATGGTGGTTTCTTTTGCTGTGCAGAAGCTCTTTGGTTTAATTAGATCCCACTTGTCAATTCTGGCTTTTGTTGCCATTGCTTTTGGTATTTTAGACATGAAGTCCTTGCCCATGCCTATGTCCAGAGACACTCAATATTGTTATACCTGTTTTAGAGATGAGGTAAGCAATGTCTAGAGAAGTTTAATAACTTGTCCTGGGACACGCAGAAAGTAGTGAAAGCAGAATCAGCACTTCAGAATCCTCACCCCTGTGCTGCATTACCTCCTTGGAGTGGGCAAAGTGAAAGACACTCAAACTACCCAAGGCCACTGTGGCCCCCCAGAGAACCTCAGGACAGCTGCTGAGGTCTCCCCAACACACATGCTTCTCCCCTATGCTTGCCTGGTTTTGTACTGTGTATCTAAGGGTTTGATTTTGTTTGATCTATGTGAGTTTTTACTGCTAAATATTTGAAAGGAGGAGAATTTTTAAAACATAGTCAACTGGGCTTATGGAATACTTGGGCCAATGAAAGCCTCATTGCCCTCACAGTGCAGCATGGTAATCAGTGCACATAATATTCACCCAGCCTTCACCATAGCTCTGTTTAAAACAGGTCAGAATGTAATAGCATATTTTTAAAAGATTTTTAGCTAAAATGGCTATTTGCTTTAGATGTTATATACCATGCTTACATCAAGATTTCACTTATCTAAAATGGTAAAATAAGCTATCATTTTGTGTAACTATACACTTTATATCTGAACATCTATACATATATACCTATATTTAGTGCAAAAATATGTCATTTAAAATTCCCACTTTGAAATAAAATACATATACAACTAGGAAGTTCAATCTTTAAATTGTTGGAATTAACTTGTTTTAAGAGCACATTTGTTGTCTAATAATGTGAATTAATCTATGTTCTTTTTAACAAAGTGGTAAGTTCTTAGTAAATGAAGATAAAGCATGAAAAGGTTTTTCTTCATAGGCTCCTTCAGCATTCTTTCTACAAAAAAATAATTTGACTGGACTCCCTGTCCACTCTCAACGTCTCCCCTTATACCTTATGTGATCATATTGTTTAATGTCAGTTTTATCTGTTAATATGCTTTTAGAGTTAACTTTATGCCTATGATCACAACCAATATTTCAGATGACTATACACTTTATATCTGAATAAGTGATTGACCTTAGAGTATAGGTTGGTGGACCACTATAAAGAGGGAGAAAAGTCTCCAGTAGAGTTCTGGATGTTGTTACAGTAGTGAACAGAAAGACAAAAAGCTTATCCCAAAGGAGCTTACGTTTTATTATCTAAGAGAGATAAAAATAAAAGATGCATGAATAAAATAGGATATATGTATATAAAATGTTGGGAGCTGAGTGTGAATAGGGAAGTGATGTGACTTAGAAGAGTCCAGGAAGACCCAAATGCCTAAACACGCCTCATCCCCCTCTGTCAATCCATGCCTGAATTTTTGCCAGTGGTTGATTCATTCCCTTGATCAAAGCCTTGTCCTCTCCAGCCCAAGTTTATAACGTGTATGTACTCCTGGGAGACATGACACCTCAGTTGCTTCAATAGGATAACATGTTCCAGTTCATTTTTCTCTACAGAAAGGATTGTGACCATAAATTATCCCTGTGCATCATGGAAACCCAAAGCCTGGCACATGGAAATACTCAAAAACCTTTGAAAGATCACTATCCCAAGAAGGTGGGAGGGAGCTGGAAGCTCTTGAGAGTAACGCAAGCACTAGGAGTGGACCCAGTTCATCCAGTCTGGATTGGCCTTCTCCATATGGGGAAGCACCTTGCTTGCTCTTCCCCATTCCTTCTTGGATAGCTCTGGCCTGCTTTGCAGGCTGGATGCACAACAATTACCATTTTTCTACCAGTGACTTACCCTTTTCAGAGCAGCAGCCAACACTCACTGAGTTCTCACTATGGGATATACATATGGGACTCTGATTCTCTGAAATCCTCCCCAAATCCCTCTATGGTATCATCATCCTTATTTCACAGAAGAGGAAACAGACACCTGAGTCGTCATCATTAGTAAGTGATGGAGATGGGATCCAGATTCAGGTCTAAATGGCTCCAAGGTCCTAACCCCTCTCCACTCTGTCCTTCAGATGGTCTGAATTCATTCAGGTTTGCCCTCTTAGGGCAACTCAGGATTTTATTTGCCCTCTTAAAGAAACCAGAAATATTATGAACATTGATTACTTTGCTGTACTGTGATGCAATGATACTTTCGTTAGTCCAAGTATTACATGGGACCAATCAATTGTTTGCAAAATTAAATTCTTTCAATCCTCACCTCTATGTTTTTCTCATTCTTCTCTTGTATATCAAGCTGTCAGCAGTCACTTTGAATTGTCATCAGTTCACTACTTTGGACATCCTTATACCCTTTTAATTGCCTTTATATAATCTGTTAGGGTGCAGGAAATCACAGAATCATGCTCCTTAAAATCGTATGTAAATTGAAAATAGACAGACTCTGAATCCAGCCATCAGGCTTCACAACAAATTAAATATATATGAAATTTGTAGCTTTCTTTGAAACTCGAAGTGCTTTGGTTACTTTAAATTTTGGAGTCACAGAATATAAAAGTAAAAATTAACTTTTAAGAAATTGTCTATTTTTAAAAATAATGGCCATCCATGCTAACAGGTGTCAGGTGCTGTGATTTTGATTTGCGTTTCCCTGATGATTAGTGATATGGAGTATATTTTCATATACATGTTGGCTATTTCTATGTCTTCTTTAGAGAAATGTCCATTCAAGGCTTTTGCCCATTTTTTAATCTAGTTATTTGGGTTTTTTGTTGTTGTTGTTGAGTTGTAGGAGTTTCTTATGTATTTTTGATATTAACTTCTTATCAGATATATGGTTTGCAAATATTTTCTCCCATTCTGTAGGTTGCTTTTTCACTCTGTTGATTGTTTACTTTGCTGAAATTGGAACTCTTGTTCACTGTTGGTAGGAATGTAAAATGGTGCGGTCACTGTGAAAATCAGTATGCAGGCTCCTCAAAAAAATTAAGATAGTCCTGCCATATGATCCAGCAATCACACTTTTGGGTACTTACCAAAAAGAATTGAAATCAGGTGGGTACTGGCCAAAAAGAATTGAAATCAGGTGGGTACTGACCAAAAAGAATTGAGATCAGGATCTTGAAAATATATTTTTGCTTTCATGTTTATTGCAACATTATTCACAATAGCCAAGAGATGGAAACAACCTAAATGTCCATCAATGGATGAATGGATTTTTGGAAAATGTTATATACATACAATGGAATATTACTTGGCTTTAAAAAAGTAGAAAATCCTGTCATAGGCTATAATATGGATGAGCTTTATAGACATGCTAAATGAAAGAAGCCAGCCACAGAAGGACAAACATTATGTGATTCCATTTATATGAGTTATCTAAAGTATTCAAACTCTGAGAAGCAGAAAGAAGAGTGGTGGTTGTCAGAGTCTGGAGGAAGCCTCCATTTGGAGGCTGAGTAGAATGGGAGTTGCTGTTCAATGGGTATAGAATATCAGTCATGCAAGATGAAAAAGTTCTAGAGATCTGCTTCACAACAAGGTGCATATAGTTAACAAAACTGTTCTGTACACAGACAAATTTGTTAAGAAGGTAGATTTTTTAATATGTGGGGTTTTTACCACATAATAAAAAAGAAAGCATTTATCTAATCCAAACTTTTTTTTTGTTTTGTTTTACAGATGAAAAAAATGAGACTTAGAAGGTGGCTTTCTCAAATCACAAAGCCAGTTAGAGAAAAATAACAGACTTTACCCACCCACTCAGAGCCCTGCCCTTACTGTATGCCAGGACTGCCACCCCATTATGTCCCTATAAATCTTCTCTCCAAGCTAAATAGTTTTTCTCTGGGGTTTGGCCACCTCAACAACAGGTCATGAGGGATGTGCCTTTCAGATTTCTTTTCACCCTAACTATTCTCTCTGCCCTCACCCATATAAACACTGGTTTGTTCAGGCCCTTCTTTGGGAAGGACTCTTAGCACTGAACACATCGTTTCAGGTGTGATCAAATCAATGCAATGGTCTTCATCTTTGCCTGAACACTATACTACTAATTGCAGGGCTTAAGGGAATATATGGTGTTTGGCTAGCATATCCCACAACTGGAGTATAAAACCTTTTTGGTCAAATGAATCATTCTTAATCTTTTTTTCATTTAACTTCTAGCAAATCAGTTTATCCATATTCCAGTTGTGCAGTTTTCTTTTTACCTGAGTTCAGATCTTTATGTTTATCCTGATTAAAATGCATATTGTTTATTCTTCATCTTTGTCATATACTGAGACTTATTTGTCATCCAATAGCTAGTCTTCCCAGATCTGTGTGATCCCACAATCCTTTCTATGACTTCATACAAGCTATTGGTAAAATAAAACTGCTGAGCATGTCCAGGGCAGAGTCCCATGGAACTCTATTATAGACTTTTCTCCATCTTTGTAATGGTCTGTTAACATATACTCCTATGTCAATCATTTACTCAGATACATATTCACCCAACTATACTATCCACATTGCTCCCCCACTTGTCAACACATACTTAAAAATGTCAAAATTCTTCCCCTTTTCTGTCACTTTCTATGATTTTTTATTTTGGGGGGTTTTCCATTTATTTGTTTCTTTATTTGTAGAGGTATTCGAGTGTGAAAGTAATGAATACAGCTTGGGAGTCAACCTGGTTTTTTTTTGTTTTTGTTTTTTTTCTTTTTTCCCTCTTTTTTCCCTCTTTTTTTTTAACTTTTATTTTAGGTTCGGGGGTACATGCAAAGGTTTGTTACATAGGTAACCTCGTGTCATGGGGGTTTGTTGTATAGATTATTCCATCACCCAGGTATTAAGCCCAGTACCCAATAGTTCCCTTTTCTGCTCCTCCCCTTCCTCCCACCCTCCACCCTCAAGTAGACCCCAGAGTCTGTTGTTCCCTTTGTGTTCATGAGTTCTCATCATTTAGCCCCCACTTATAAGTGATAAATGTGGAATTTGGTTTTCTGTTCCTGCCTTAGTTTGCTAAATGTATTAGCCTCCAGCTCCACCCATGTTTCCACAAAAGACATGATCTCATTCTTTTTATGGTGACATAGTATTCCTTGGTGTTTATGTACCACATTTTCTTTATCCAGTCTGTCATTGACGGGCATTTAGGTTGATTCTGTGTTTTGCTATTGTGAATAGTGCAGCAATGAACATTTATGTGCATGTGACTTTATGGCAGAATGATTTATATTCCTCTGATATATACCCAGTAGTGAGATTGCTGGGTTGAATGGTAGTTCTGCTTGTAGCTCTTTGAGGAATTGCCATACTGCTTTCCACAATGGTTGAAGTAATTTACACTTCCACCAACACCATATGTATTCCCTTTCCTCTACAACTTTGACCACATCTGTGATTTTATTGACTTTTTAATAGTAACCATTCTAACTGGTGTGAGATGGTTTCTCAGTGTGGTTTTGACTTGCATTTGTCTAATGCTCAGTGATGTTGAACTTTCTTTTCATATGTTTGTTGGCTGAATGTATGTCTTCCTTTGAAAAGTGTCTGTTCATGTCCTTTGCCCACTTTTTAATGAGGTTGTTTGTTTTTCTCTAGTAAATTTGTTTAGTTCCTTATAGATGTTGGATATTAGACCTTTGTCAGATGCATAGTTTGCAAATATTTTCTCCCATTCTGTAGGTTGTCTGTTTACGCTGTTGATAGTTTCTTTGGCTGTGCAGAAGCTCTTAAGTTTAATTAGATCCCTCTTGTCAATTTTTGCTTTTGTTGCAGTTGCTTTTTGAGTTAACCTGCTTTATTTGAATCCTGACTCTGCCACTTACTAGCTATGGAAATTTGAGCAAAATAATGAATCTCTCTAAGTCATAGTTTCCACATTAGAGATAACAATAGTACCTACCTTTTCAAAGAGATACCGAGAAAATTTAATAAATTATGTAAAAAACTTAGTTCAGTGCCCAGCCCATGACAAGCCCTCAAGTATGAGTAATGATGTGATTATGATATAAATAAATAAATAAATAACGAAACTGCCAGTTTACATCACTTTTTTGCATTAATCCTAGCAAGGAGGTTAGGAAGTAATATTTATTGAGGGACAACTATAAGCCAGGAATTTACACATATAATCTCAGTTAATTTTTACAAAAAAAGTCGATATTTATGTATAGAAATTACTTTATATATGGGAAAACTGAGACTCAGAGGGACTAAATGAATGAGGCAAGGCCCACACAGCTTAAGATAAAAGAACCAGGGTTCTCATGGTGTTCTTTCTGAGTCTAAAGCTCTTGTCCTTTTCATCAACTTCTCTTCTTCCTTTTTCTCAGCATTGAGTGTGTGGCTGAGATCAAGGATAGTTGTTAATTTCCTACCAAAATCAAACAATGAAAGCTAAGATTCCTGAGGGAAACAAGATGGCAGCACTATTTCCAGGCTGTCTCAGGAGTCAGACAAGGTTATTATCAGAAAGCAGCAGGGATTGGGCAGGCAGAGGTTTTGCATGAAACAATAGTAAAATCAAAAGAATTAAAAGCAGGGATTCAGGGAGATATTTGTACACCAATGTTTATGGCAGCATTACTCATAATAGCTTAAGGATAGAAACCACCCAAATGTTCAATTGACAGATGAATGGATAAACAAATTGTGGTTATATACATATAATAAAATAGTATTCAGCCACAATAAGGAATGAAACTCTGACACGCGCTGCAACCTGGATTAACCTTGAGGACATTATGCTAAGTGAAATAAGCCAGTCAACCCCAAAAGGATAAGTGCTATATGATTCATTCTCTCATTCTCTCTCCACCCAACCAACTTAGGGCACTTAGAGCACGCAAACTCACAGAGACAGAAAGTAGAATGGTGGTTGCCAGAAGCTGGAAGTGTAGAGAGAGAATAAATAGTAATTGTTCGATGTGTACAGACTATCAGTTTAGGATGATGAAAAAGTTCTGGAGATAGGTGGTAGTAATGATTGCACAACAACGTACACATACTTTATGTCATCGAACGAACATTTAAACATTAAAATGGTAAATTATGTGTTTTTTACCAAAATAAAAAATACTTAGCCCAAAAAGAAATAGTATAATGACACTTATTGGATGCTAAGTTCCATCTCATTTCATCCTCACAACAATCTCAAGAAGTAAATTCTATGATTGCCCCCAATATTGAGATGAGAACACTGAGGCAGAAAGAGGTTAAGAAACTAACGCATGTTCACACAGATGATGAGAGCTGGAGTCAGAATTTGAACCCAGGCAGTCTGGCTTCTGAGTTTATGCTACACCTGGTAGAGCAAACTACCATTCCAGATTTTAAAGATAACCTTGGACTTTAGGCAACTGGGCACATTCCCTAGGCCTTAGTTGAGGTGCTTCAAGAGGCAAGCTTGCAGTGCTGAGCGTGAGATTGTGGGCACTTGAGCCCACAGAAGGAATGCAGCCCTTGAAGCCACTGCCACACTTCTCTAAGAGGCAGGGTTTGAGTTTGTCTCCAGTTCTGAACACCTTCCTAGAGCCTTATAAATATTCTGGATGTAGGCAGTCTAGCTGGGGTCCATTGATAAGAAGGTCATGTGGGTGAAATGCTACTTTGCTTGCCTTCTCCTTGGCCCACAAGAACCTGGGAAATTTCCTGGTAGTGGCTGATTTTTTTCCCTTTTATTATTCTGTTTTAGGGTTGTAGGGGGAGAAGGAAGAATACATATTATGGTGGGATGTTTTTTTCCATTTGTATCTATTTCTTTCTACTTTTTCAGATCTTTCTTCTATTTGCTGCCACCCACACACTGCCAACCACACAGGAAGACAACTGGTGAGATTACATTTGGAGTTAAAAGGGTTCTGATCATGCTACTATTCCTGGAGAGGAATTTGCAAATGAGAGTTAGTACCAAGAGCCAAGGGACAAAGCCACCCCATCAACCCCCTCTTCCTTCTTTTCTTCTTCCTCATCCTCATCACACTTGGCTGTGGCCCCAAAGGTCCTTCAGACGTGAGGCAATGAACTGTCTTATCACCACTCATGGCCATATCACAGGCAGTTGCAATTTGTGTTCCAGGGAGCTTGTCACTGGCAATTGTTAAAGCATGGAAGTTTAGAGTATACTTTTTTAAGTGTAATATTATTTGAGACAAGTTCAAACTTACAAAAAAAGTTGCAAGAACAGGATAAGGACATATCGTACACTCCTCACACAGAGACCCCAATCAAGTTACACTAAATGCTCCATTGATGTTTTTTTACAGCAAAAGAGACCAATTCAGAATCATGGATTATAGTTAGTTGTCACATCTCTCTGATTTCCCTCAATCTCAAACAGTCCTTCACTCTTTACTTGAGTCTCCTACTCTTGATGTGTTTTGCGATTACAAGGCAGTCATTTTGTAGAATATCCCTCAACTTGGGTTGACCCAACCCTTTCTCATAATTAGACCCAGGTTATGGATTTCAGTCAGAAATATTCCAGAAGTAATGCTGTGTTCTTCTCATTGGTATTCTCTAAGGTGACAAGAAATATTAGTTTGTCCCATTCATGTTGATAGTATCTTTGATCGGTTGATTTAGGTGGCATCTTCCACTTTCTCCACTTATATTAAAGTTAATTTTCCCCTTTGCACTTACTAAATATTTTCTGTGGAGATACTTTGAGATCTCTTCCATTAACCCCACTGTCACCCACTAGTTTTATTATCCATCAATGTTTCTTGCCTGAGTTAATTATTATTATGATAGTTGCCAAATGATAATTTTCTAATTCCATCATTCCTTCTACAGTTATTGTCATTCTGCTGTAGGTAAGAGCTTTATTTTCTCCCCATGTTTTTAATTCATTTGTTTGTTTATATCAATGCTTACTCATGGATTTCCCTTTTATTCAATGGATCATAACTTGTTTCTATCATTATTTGCTTTGATGCTCGGACGTGTCCTAGATTTGGCCAGAAGGAGCCCCTTCGAACTTCCTCCTGTGTCCTTTTCATCTGGCTGTCTCATTCTTTAAGTAATTTATTTGAATTGTACTTTCTCTGCCTTAGCTCTGTAGTCAGCCATTTCCCAAGGATCCCTTGTTCTTTTCAGTGAGCAAGGGCCTTTAGAAGCTAAGATCTGGGTGATAGGTGTACTCAGAACCTCTAGGGTGTTGCTGCTTGGAAGATCTCAGTTGACTGAGCTCACTCCTCATTTCTGTTAGGTCTTCATTAAAATGTCACCTTATGAGGCCTTTCCTGTTTACACTATTTAAAATTACAACCACTGACATCATCCCTCACCACAGTACATCTCTCTTTCCAGCTTTAATTTGTTTCTATCACTATCAGCACATAATGTTATGAATATTTTCATATATTTACTTTATTATGCTCCCCCACCCAAAACAATAGGTGCCATGAGGGTAGGGACTATTTTAGGTGACTAAAACAAATGAAAATCCTTGTCATCATTAATGAATCTGAAAGATAACATAGAAAGTAGCCAAGAAAAAGCAAAGGGGGAGTATGCATAATGGCCCTAAGATTAAGAATGCCACAGCCATGCTGGAAATGTCAGGAGGCTGAAGCTGATGGCTGAGGATGGGAGAGTGATGGAAATGAGGGCAGAGCTTTGCAGCTCAGCAAAAGAATTTGGTGCATTTCATTATAAGTGCAAAAGGAAGTCCCTGTAAGATTTCAAACACAAAAGTGGCCTAATCTATCTTACGTTTTTCAAATATTGCACTATTTACTAAATGGAGAAATAATTATTTGGGGCAAAAAATTTAGTAGGGATACTTATACAGAAGTTGTTTCAGGGGCCTGAGAGGAGGAGGGTCAACTATGGTGGTGGCAGTAACGTAATGGTAGAAGATGTAGGAAATATTCTGGAGATACACTCCCTAAGACCACTGGTGATACATTAGATATGCTTGATGAGGAAGAGGTATATGTCAGTAATCATTCCCAGATTATAGTTTAAATAAGAGGGAGTTAAATCTGGACCTGTCTGCTTCAGACCCTGTTAAGGTAACTGCGTTGACATCCCCAGATGGCCAAAGACAAAGAACAAGGCTTTAGAGGTGAATATTTGGATTAAGAGTTGCTTTGTAAAATCTGCCGAAGCTTCCCCTCCTACCAGGAAGCCAAATCCCCCTCTAGCCAAAGAAGTGATGATACGGGTACTGAGCACGTAAGACAGAGGCCCACAGTTCCTTTGGAGGTCTTAATAGAGAACTGGGCACTGTCAGGGGAACCCCCAGAAAGTCCAGGAATGAGGAATCATATTCCAGCCTTCTCACCCAGCACCCCTCCCTTCCTTTCCTCCTGCAAAAAAAAGTTTCTCTTTGTAATTGTCTATAAAAGATTATTGTCTGCATTTTATTTAATTATTCCGTATGAAGTAATTATGAGAGAATAATCAGCCAGTTCGCCGATAATAGACGTTTCATAAAAGAACACAAAAGACGCTAATAAAGGCAGAGCCAGCCCTCATCGCTGTCATTATTACTCTACATCTTTAATTTTCATACATTTTTATTGTTTGCCTGAAATTAATTGTCCATTTCTTTTCCTAATCAGGTTTATTGCAAGTGGGCCACTTCTAGATAACTATACCATTTGTGTGTTTATCTGGCGAATGTCCCAGTAGATCTTGTCAACATTGAAATATCTATCCAGGAGACTAGAAGGAAAAGAATCATAAAATCATTGTGCCTTGGCACTCTAAAGGACTTTGTGAGGATTTAGCCACTCCCCTCCACCCCAACCCCACCTGCCATTTTGGTTTATAAGAAAAGAATCTGAATTACTGGGAGGAGTTGGCACAGCTAGTTAGTGACAGAGTTGAGACCAGAGTCAGATCTCTTGGATGAATCTAGAATAGTGAAGCTGTAGCAAGACTTAATCATCTTAAATGAAATTCAGTTTCTATCACAGGTATGAATCATTTCAGAGAGTGGTGACTAAAGCTTCGTCATGCCTGTGCACACTACTAGGAATGTTCTACCTCAACTTCCAGTTGTTAAATACCATCTTATTATTAGTAAGGCACTTCAGTATCACCTAACAGGATGTACTGATCTGCTAGAGCTGCCTTAACAAATTATTACAGACTGGGTGGCTTAAACAACAAAATTTTATTTTCTCACAGTTCTGAGGCTGGAAATCCAAGATTAAGGTCCCAACAGGGTTAGTTTCTGGTGAAGACTCCCTTCTCGGCTTTCAGATAGCTGCCTTCTCACCATGTCCTCGTATGTTCTTTCTTCTGTGCATGAGGAGAGATAGATCTTTGGTGGCTTTTCCTCTTCTTATAAAGACACCAGTCCTATCAGATTAGGGGTCCACCCTTATGACCTCATTAATTACCTCCTTAAAGGCTCTATCTTCAGATACAGTCACACTGGGGATTAGGGCTTCAATACAGGAATTTTAAGAGCACAAAATTTAGTCCATAACATGGAATAATAATTTAATTCTACCATAGAACCTCATTTAAAATTTTTAAGCTAGTAATAGCAATAATTGCTTAGAGACAACAATGGTGCTCCATCGCTGTGGGCCATGGACACAGTGGTGCCTCTCAGACTTTTGCTTTGGGTTGCCTCTGAGTGTACTGCCTGCCTGGCCACTCCTCCTCATGTGAGCTGGCTGGAGGGCTTGTGCAGTGGCACAGATGGAGCATGGCAACAGGCAGGACTTAATTGGATGCTCCATGGCCTAGTTCATGGTCTTGGCCTAATTCACCCTGTAACTCTGGGGAAAAAAAAAATGCTGTATCTATTCTTCTTTCTATCCCCAGTATCAGAAACAGGTTCTGGCACAGAGTAACAATTTAATCAGTGATGAATGAATGAATGAATGAATGAATAAATGAGTGGACATTCTATGAGTCAGATTGCATCACCTAGCTCCCCTGCTTAAGATGCCTCAGTGACTCCTCATCACCCGTAAGATAAAGGACAAGCACTTCTGTGACTTGACTGTATTCAACCCTTCCAGCACCTCCCATTTTGGCAATGACTCCTTTCTCCCTATATCTCTGTCCACACCAAGCATCTTGCAGCTTTCAGAATACCTAAAGCTTTTCCATGCATTTGTGTCTTTTATCACACTGTTCCCACTGCCTGGAAGGAACCCATCTTTAGCTGGTTAACTGAGTTTGGGCATTAAAACTCTATTACCTCTTCCCAATTTGAGAGGTTCTCCCACTTTCTGGGCTCCCATTGCTTTCCATCTGAACCTTACCTCAGTGTTATATGTGTCCATAAACTTGTCTGTCTCCCTCCTTTAGTTATGGGATAACTCATTTATCCTTGGGTTCTTACTGTCTAGCACAATGCCAGGTATACTATGGATTAACGAGCCTAATGTACTATGATAGAAATTTTTGTATTATGTAATAGTAAGGCTATATTTTTGATCCATAAATCAAACGCCACTGCAGTACCCACCTGTGTAAGACAATTAATGGTCTTGAGGGCTCAGGGAATTTGAATGACTCCTGACTTCCCCCCTTTCCTTCCTTCTTCCCATTAGTAATGAAGTGTCTCCCTTATGTTACTTCATACCTGCTAGAATGGGAAGCTTGAAGGTTAGATGGCATAATGCAATAATTCTCAAATCTATCAGAATCTCCTGAGAAACTTATGATTCAAAATATTATCACATCTTCCCAAGGCACATACCCCCATCGCTAGTGAGTCAGTCTCTCAAGGACAGACCCCAGATATTTCTGTGATGCTCTCCAGGGCTTCCAGGGTGGGAACCACTGGTATAATGGAAAGAAGCCTGAAACTGGAGTTCCACTTGATCTGGTCACTGATGAGCAGAGTGTCCTTGGGAAGGTCACTTTCCTCTTTATGCTTTAACCAGTCTTCTGTGTGTGGAGAAAGTACAACTGGATTGGTGTTTGTCAATCTTGTTTTCTCAGCATTGGAACAAAATCTTGCACAGAGGCCCAGTATATAAAACAGAACAAAGCAGGGTTGCAGTGTTTGAGGGTGAAGAGGGCTCCTTATTCAGCCTTGTTCTCAGTGCCACCAGCACTGCCCTGAGGTGCAAAGTCCTCAAGGCACTTCCACATGGAACTTCTAGGGCTCTCCAGCATGTAACTTGAAAAATTCTAAATTAGAAGATCCATGTCCCTACTAGTTGTGGCATTTTGCAACTCCATGGTAACGTGCTTACCTTGAAAGAAGCCCTCCAGTCATTTTCTAGACAGAGTCTGGGAAGTTGCAGAACACTCCCCAGGGCAGGAGAGCCGTCTGAGAATGTGGAGGGAACAGCTCCAAGAACAAAAGACAAAAGAAGACTGGGGACCATCTTTGGAGTTCTGATATCCAAAAAGCACAGGGAAAAGAACAGAGCAAGTTGGCAAACTAAGCCAGGAGAGGTTCAAGTAGCAAAGGATTGAAACAAAAGGAGAATCTAGGCACTATGTACCTCAGTCAGGAGTCTCCGTGTGCTTAGTGCTGAAACAGAAGTCAGCAGGAGGAACAGAGGAACCAAAATTGTTCCAGGTGACCACAATAAAGTGAGTATCACATTAAAGCAAGTCGCCTGAAGTGCTTGGTTTCCCAGTGCATATGAAAGTTATATTATACTATATTGTAGTCTATTAAGTGTGCAATAGCATTGTGTCTTAAAAAAAGATGTACATACCTTAATTTAAAAATACTTTATTGCTAAATCATGCTATCAATTGGCCGGGTGTGGTGGCTCTTGCCTGTAATTCCAGCGCTTTGGGAGGCCGAGGCAGGTGGATCTTTTGAGATCAGGAGTTTGAGACCAGCCTCATGGTGAAACCCTGTCTCTAGTAAAAATACAAAAAAATTAGCTGGGCATTGTGGCACACACCTGTAATCCCAGCTACTGGGGAGGCTGAGGCAGGAGAATTGCTTGAACCCAGAAGATGGAGGTTGCAGTGAGCTGAAATCTCGCCACTGCACTCCAGCCTGTGCGACAGGGAGACTCCATCTCGAAAAAAAAAAAAAAAAAATGCTAACAGTCATCTAAGCTTCAGCGAGTTGTAATTTTTTTTACTGGTAGATGGTCTTGCCTCAATGTTGATGGTTGCTGAAGGTTGAGGTGGACATGTAAGTTTCTTAAAATAAGACAACAGTGAACTTTGCTGTATCAATAGACTGTTGTTCTCATAAGAGAATTTTTCTACAGTATGTGATGCTATTTGATAGTATTTCACTCACAGTAGAACTTCTTTCAAAATTGGAGCCAATTCTCTAAAACCCTGCCACTGCTTTATTAACTAAGTTTATGAAATATTCTAAATCCTTTACTGTCATTTCAACTATGTTCACAGTATCTCCACTAGGAGTAGATTCCATCTCAAGGAACCACTTTCTTTTCTCATTCATAAGAAGCAACTCCTCATTTGTTAAAATTTGATCATGAGATTGCAGCAATTCAGTCACATCTTCAGTCTCCACTTCTAATTCTAGTTCTGTTACAATTCTACCACATCTGCAGTAACTTCCTCCACTAAAGTCTTGAACTCCTCAAAGTCATCCATAAGAGTTTGAATCAATGTCCTCCAAACACCTGTTAATGTTGTAATTTTGGCCTCTTCCCATGAATCATAAATGTTCTTAATGGCATCTAGAACAGTGAATCCTCTCCAGAAGGTTTTTTTTTACTTTGCCCAGATCCAACAGAGGAATCACTATCTGTGGAAGCTATAGCTTTACCAAACATATTTCTTAAATAATAAAACTTGAAAGTCACAATTACTCCTTGATCCATAACTCCTTGATCCATAATATTGTATCCATCCCTACTAACACAACATCCATTGTTGGCATGGAAACAATATTAATCTCCTTGTACATCTCCATCAGAGTTCTTGAGTGACTAGATACATTGTTAATAAGCAATAATATTTTGAAAGTAATCTTTTTTTTTTCTGAGCAGTAAGTCTCAACAGTGGGCTTAAAATATTCATTCAACCATAACGTAAACAGATGAGCTATCATTTAGGCTTTGTAGTTCCACTGATAGAGCATAGGCATAGTTGATTTAGCATAATTCTTAAGGGCCCTGGGATTTTCACAGTGGTAAATGAGCATTGGCTTCCATTGAAATTCATCAGCTGCATTAGCCCCTAACAAGAGAGTCACCCTGTCCTTTGAAGCTTTGAAGCCAGACATTGACTTCTCCTCCTGAGCTATGAAAGTCCTAGATGGCATCTTCTCCCAATATAAGGCTGTTTCATTACCATGAAAATCTGTTGTTTAGTGTATCCACCTTCATCAATGATCTTGGCTAGATCTTCTGGAAAATATGCTGCAGCTTCTGCGTCAGCACTTGCTGCTTTACCTTGCACTTTAATACTATGGAGACAGTTTTTCTTAAGCCTCATGACCTAACCTCTTCTAGCTTCAAACTTTTCCTCTGAAGTTTCCTCACCTTTCTCAGCTTTCATAGAATTGAAGTGTTAGAGCTTTTCTCTGGATTAGGCTTCAGCTTAAGGGAATGTTGTGGCTGGGTTGATCTTCTATCTAGACCTCTCAAACTTTCTTCATATCAGCAATAAGAATGTTTTGCTTTCTTATCATTCGTGGGTTCACTGGAGTAGCATCTTTAATGTCCTTCAAGAACTTTTCCTTTGCATTTACAACTTGGCTAACTGGCTCAAGAATCCTAGCTTTCAGCCTGTCTTGGCCTTTGACACGCCATCCTCAAAAACTTAATCATGTCTAGCTGTTTATTTAAAGTGAGAGGCATATAACTCTATTTTACTTGAATACTTAGAGGCCATTGTAGGGTCCTTAATTGGCCTAATTTCAATACTGTTGTATCTCAGGGATTAAGGAGGCCAAGGAGAGAGAGAGGTGAGGAAATGGCCATCAGTGGAGCAGCCAGAACACACACAACATTTATCAATTAAGTTCACAATCCTATTTGGGTGCTGTTCATGGCACTTCCAAACAATTACAACAGTAATATCAAAGATCACTGATCACAGATCACCATAACAGATATAATGGTAATGGAACAGTCTGGAATATTGTAATAATTACCAAACTGTAACACAGAGACATGAAGTGAGTGCATGCTGTTGGAAAAAAATGGTGCCAGCAGACTTGTTCAAGGCAGGGTTGCCACAAACCTTCAATTTGCAAACAATGTAATATCTGTGAAGTGCAATCAAACAAGGTATGCCTGTAATACCTAAGTCAGGTTGAAATCCATTTGGTGGAAATCGGGCCGCCTTTCTTTGAGCTGAGGTACAAATGCTTTGTTCTTCACTGTTCATATCATTGCTGGGGAAATCAAGCTGGCATATGTTTTCAGTAACCACCACTGAGATCATTTTTCTCTCTCTCTGGGGTAATTCTGGGAAAGAAAAGCATTCAAAATATTATATTTGCTATCCCCTAGAACATTCATGTCATGTAGCACCTACAATTAATGAGTGGTACTTGTGAGGATGTGAGTCATTACAGCAAAGCATTTAATTCAATTCTTCTCCAACACACTGATTTAATCCACCCTGAGTGAAGCTGGAACTGTAACACACCTTCCCTGAATAGAGTACCATGAGATGACATGGTGTGTCTGAATGACAGCAATTTTGCACATGTACATAGCAGCTTCCAGCCTGGGATCTCCAAGAGTTGCTTCTCACGTGGTAATTGATGGCACCTCTAAGTGTTACATTAAACATTTAATTGAACAGTTAAATGTGGATTAATGAGGCCATTAATTAATACAGCGGGGAAGTCTGCAATTCTTATCTGTGGACCACAGAGAGGATTTCCCCACACCATGTATTTGAAACTACATCGTGAAAATTCAAAATTGTTGAAGCTGTTGAAAGTGTGAGAAAAAGAGTGTGATGAGAGTAGAAATAATGTAAGGCTGACAAAAAGAGGACCCAGAATATGGATACATGAGTTCAAGACCAGGTTCTATGACCAACTAGCTGTGTGACTTTGTGTATATTACTTTACCTCTCTGGGCCTTGAATTTCTTATCTTAAAAATGAGAGGTGTACATTGAGCACAACAGTCGTTTTATTAACCAATGCTCTGAGCCTGTGAACTTAACAAAATGCAATCTGGGATTGGCTCAGTTTCTTGGACCGTTCACATACCTTTTAACTTCTGTGTGTCAAACATTTGTCTGAGAGCTCCAGCTGTCCAGTTGCAGCCCCCCAAGGAGAAGTAGAAGAGCCCTGGACTTGGACTGACAAGTCCTGCTTTCTACTCTGCTGCTAGAATTGAGATCCTAGAAGTCAACAAATGCATCTGAGTCTCCAGGTTCTCATTCTTAAAATGTAGACATAATCTACTGCAAGGAGCTGTTATGAGTACTAAGCAAGATATTTTAGATGAGAGCAAGAGAGTGTGATGTATGTGTGAGCTACTATTCTTGTTTTTATTATTTTCACCCTGGGCCACTGAAAATTGGTTCTGGGGGTCATGTCAATGCCTACGGCTACTCCGTCATCTCTCTACCTTCCTTCCCTTCTTCTCTGCCTACCGTAATCTTCATTCTTGAGTCTGTATTTTTCTAAATATAAAGCAAGATATTTATTAGCAAACCTTTTGGCATCCATAATTCTTCACTCCCCAAAGTATTATTAAACCCTTTTATAACTTTGATAGTGAAAATAAAACAGAAAACCGTAAAGTTTCACAAGACGACATTTCCCCTCTCAAAATCAACCCAACCACTGAGCCTCCTGGGGAGCTTTCCTCCTACCCACCCCTTTCCCAGAAGACAGTTTACAGGATGGTCCTTAGATGAAAATGAAGAAGCAAAAAGATCAAGTAAAAAATGATTTGTGCTTTTGTTTTATTCTAAATCAGCATGAGGAGTATATTCTAGAGCAACAGTCCACAACCTTTTAGGCATCAGGGACTGGTTGTGTGGAAGATAATTTTTCCACAGACCGGGGTTGGAGGGTGGTTTTAGGATGATTCAAGCACATTACATTTATTGTGTACTTTATTTCTATTATTATTACATTGTGATATATATTGAAATAATTATACAATTCACCGTAATGTAGAATCAGTGGGATCCCTAAGCTTGTTTTCCTGTAACTAGTTGGTCCTATGCTGGGGGGCAGCGGGTGGTGATGGGAGACAGTGACAGATCATCAGGAATTAGATTCTCATAAGGAGCACACAACCTGGAGCCCTCCCATGCACAGTTCACAACAGGGCTCACGCTCCTATGAGAATCTAATGCCGCTGCTGATCTGACAGGAGGCGGAGCTCAGGTGGTAATGCAAGTGATGGGGAGTGGCTGTCAATACAGATGAAGCTTCACTCACTTGCCCGCCGCTCATCTTCTGCTGTGTGGTCCGGTTTCTAACAGGCCACAGACCAGTACCAGTCTATGACCCAGGGGTCAGGGACTCTTGTTCTAGATAACTTGTTTTACTTTAAGCAAACTTCATAAACTTTCATGGGCAGGTCATTTGGGATGGTCTTAATATAAATCTATGAGGTGCATTATCAAAAAATTAAATTAGGTTTAGTAGCATTTACTACTAAATATGCGTTACTGCCTAACCTCATATGATATATATATAAACTCTCTCTTAAAATGTTTTATTTTTCTACTATATTGAATAACAAATCTTATTTATGTAAAAACTGTTTATTGGGCACTCACTACAGCCAGCTACAGCACTGAGGAATATACTTAAGTATACAGGTGTATTTCTCTATATTATATATACAGTTGATCATCATTGTTTGTGGATTCCATATTTACAAATTAGCCTACTCCCTAAAATGTATTTGTGACCCCCAAATCAATAATCCAGTGTTTCCACAGACATGTGCAGAGTGGTGAAAACTTTGAGTCACCTGATGTGCACATTTCCAGCTGAGATAAATAAAGCTATGCTCTGCCTTCTTGCATTGGCAGACTTCCTCGCTTAAGAAAACCTCCCAGTGCCCTTTCTCTGTAGATCTGTAGATGACGTGATAGCATTAGATAACACAAGCTACTGTGTATAATTATCTGTTTATACATAAGCATTAGCTCCCCATCCAGGACCATAAACTTCTTTCAGATGGACCCTAGGTTCTATTTTTCTTATACTTTAACTACACTCTTATACTTTAAACAGAAACACACATAAAGCAAGATTATGTATTGATTGGCAACAATGATGTGATAAGAAGCTTGCAGGAACCTAACCCTGTATTCCCTTACGAGCAATAGTTCAGAATTCACTAATTCAGTGTTTGCAGCAACTTTATAAAACATAATGATTGCAAACATTGAGAACTGACTCTGTGTGCTATGTGTGTGTGTGTGATTAAGTGCTAGACATGGACTACACAGGAGCTTAATGTGTAAATTTATCCAGTGCTTTTGTATTTAGCCTGGTAATCTCACCAGAAATTGCTAATTTAAATTAGTTCCTTTGCTTTTATTAAGATAAATGGAATCTCATCAACTCAGTCTTAGGACACAAAGGAATTAGCCTTAGAAATAAAACTTTATTTTGTTAAAAACTCTAGTGAAGGAAATTATACAACAGAAGCACAGTGAAGGGATATCGTTTTTCACCTTTGTGAGCACAAAACAGATTTGAGTCTTCCCCATATCACACAGATTCAGCTCCCTCAAGCCACCCAAAGTGCAAACCGTGCCATCTCTCTTTTCTTCTAGATCGCTATCCACTCAACATTCACCCAAAACATACACCCAGTTTCCGATGCACAGGTAATAAAGATGATAAGTCCTTGGCTTACAATTACCACATGTGTAGTGAGCTGAGAGGAAAATATGGGAAGGCCACTGAGGACCACTCAGCCAGGGAAGAACAGTGAATGTCAGATAAAGCCACCAGAAGATGAGATGCTTGACCTTAGAGATGAGGAGCAGTTAATATGGTGGTCTTGGTGGGATCCCCTGGTACAAAGGTCCGCAGCACCTACTCTGTGAAGAGCACCAGAACAGATGTCATGGATGATTGAGTCAGTATCAGCCAGTATCCTGAAACTCCAGTATTTCAAGGAAGCTTTCCCTGGAGACACCCTCTCCTCCATGAACACATGCACTCCCAACCAAGAAAAAGTCTGAATCCGTCCATAGGATTCCTTTCTCCTTCCATCCTGGCACTTATTTAATCAGTATCTGTCTCCCCAAATGAAGCATATGCCCCTAAAAGCAGGAACCAAGTATTTTGTTGTTGTTAGTTTGCTGTTGCATCTCCCACTGCCTCAAGACTTGCCTGGCATAAGCTGCTGAACAACTGAATGAAGATTGCAGAGTAAGGCCAAGGTCTTATTCATGGGGTGACAGCTTTGCTGGGAGATTTTACAAGGTCATAGTATTGTGGGGATTTTTTTCCACAGTGAACAATGTTTTATCCTGGGAAATCAGTGTACCTCCCATAGGTATTTTTGTTCACCGTGCTTTTCATTGCTTAACTCTTTGACCTAATAACTAGTAAATTAGCAGTCACTAGAACTGAGAAGAGAGAAAACAGGAAAGTTTCAGGTCTTCTAACTTATATTCCTAAATGCAACCTGTGGTCCTGCCAGGTTGGCTGATATTCTTGGCTCAAACTGGGGACTTTCACAGGAGCAAGGGCTCATGTGCCTGCTTTCATCATCACTTCTAGAGCCAGCCCAGAACCTCACCCCCCAGAGGAATCATCTGCTTCTCCTCAGTCCCTTGAAATATTCTTGCCATGAGGACCCCTTCTCTCTGGGGGTAAACAGTAAGATAGATAAAGTGTACTCAAGTGGGACAGAAGTCACTAGCACACATCATGGTGGATGAGCTGTATCACAGCAGCCACCCCTGAGATGGTAGAAGAATGCTGTAAGGCTGAGTCATAGGGACTTGCCCTTTCCTGTTTCTCACCTCTTTGTTGTGGGGTTCTCACAACCAAATGCTCATATGGCCAGGCAGGTGGTCTAAGTAAGTGGAGGTGACAGGGTGGAAGTGTGGCAAGCCCTAACTGAAGGGAATAGCTACTGCTCATCTCCATGCAAGAATTTGGGACAAGTGTCACCAGATCTTCTGGTTTTTCAAGAGAAAGCAAAAGTGCGGGGACCAGATTTGTTTTCAAAGAATCTGGTTTCTTGAAATCAGAAACCATCTTAAGGTTGTCCGTTTTTCATTACTGTTGTTTTTCTGAAATGCTTTTTGTCAATCATTAGGGAGAAGATAAAGACAAATAGAACCTAGGGTCCATCCGAAAGAAGCTTATGGTCCAGGAGGGGAGCCAATGCTTATGTATAAAAAGATAATTACACAGAGTAGCTTATGTTATCTAATGCTATCATGTTATCTACAGATCTACAGAGAAAGGGCATCGGGAGGTTTTCTTAAGCAAATTTGTTGCGGAGAATCTCCTCCCTTTAGTAACAAGAAACTCAATTGTTTCTACATCCAGAAAAGGACTTTTTTTCTTTTAAGCAATAGGGCCTCCTGCTGAGACAGTAAAATTGTAGAGATACTTGTAGGGTTGTGTTGCAATATGATGAGGAGGCCAATGAAGGTGGTTCCATCAAAGAGTGCTTGAGTTAAAACTAATATATTCAAGCAGTGATACTATTTTGGCATTCTTCAGCTCCGTTTTCTTTCTTCTTTCTCCTCATCTGGACTCAGACCCTAGTTCCTGACTTTCAGTGTGGCACTCTTTCCTCTCCCTGCTTAAGAAGGAGCAGTCAGAATTATAAGGTCATGGCAACATTGTAGATTTGAAATTCCACTGTCTTACGAAACATGGCTTCTTGAGCTCCAGCATTGTTGTTTGGCAAGTTGATCAGAAATTCTCTTTCTGCCAGTGCTGAGCCATGGTAGTTAATGTGTGGAGTTCTGAAGCAACAGTTTGGATCCCATTTCTACTAACTTATCATGCTAGCTGTATGACTTTAGGAAAAGTACTTAACTTGGTACCTAAGCCACAGTTATCTCACGTATAAAATAAGGTAACCATAGTGCCTGCTTGTTAGGTGTTTTGTGAAGATCAAATGAGATCATACAGGTAAATATTATGTGAGTGAAAACCCCCACAGGTATACTAATAGAGCGTAAAAAAAAAAGAAAATCACGTGGAGGTCTATATTTGAAGAATGAGACCTGTGCCTCGTACAAAAAAAGTATTCAATTAAAGAAAGTCCACATCAGTATTACCAAATAGGGACATGAATCATTCCTTGCTGTGGAGTATTGTGAGAATAAGGACCTGCATAATTTATTATTTACTGCAAATGGAGCAAGTCAGTCTTGGAAAACTCTGATTTATTATCATATGGGTGGTGAATGAGCTTTGACCTGGCCAAGAGAAAAGTGTGCCACTCCAGGCATGGATGTCAAGCCTGGCACTCAACATGCACAATTGCTGGACTGAGCTGAGGTACAGTGCATGAAGTTCAACTAAAACCTCACCTTGGGTGATTCTCAGCTGGGAAGTGGCCCTAGCTAAATAATAATGGCACACTCAGAATCTTCCATGATTTTTGGAATTCTAGAATAATGAACTGTTTGGGAACAGGGGACTCTTCTGAAGTACCCAACAATTTAAAAGGGAGAAAAGTCCTTCTTCCCTCTCTCATCAGTCTCTTCTCTCTTCCTACCTATCCATCCATGTATCCAACAGAATCTGAATTAGAATATTTTGGTACGTGTATACCTATGTAACAAAACTGAACATTCTGCACATGTAATCCAGAACTTAAAAAAAAAAAGAATATTTGGGCATTCATGCAATCCACTTTTTCAGAGGAAAGTTAGTCTTCTTTCAAATAATTTTATAATTGCATCAATTCATCTAGGATACAGTGGGCCTTTTCACATGCCAGGTGCGGTGCAAGGCACCGAGCGTAAAAAAAAAAAAAATATATATATATATATATATATATATATATATATATATAGAAAAGTACAGTTCATGCCCTCAAGGATCTCATAGTCTCAGAGGCAAGTAACTTTTGTAATTCCCCAGCCTTCCCTTCTCTCCTTTCAGAGCTCCTCACATACTAAGTGCCCAGTGTGTTAATTTATTTTCAGCAGAGTCCGATCAGCTTCTTTGCATGAAAGTCTACATGTTTAACCTCTCCAAATTACAAGGGTGCCTGCTTTTTTAAAGGAGATGCTGTATCTTAAACCAAAAAGGTTATTTTGAGAATTTTAGACATGCTGGAAAATTTAAGTGAAGCAAATTTTTATAAATTGTGTATATACTTGCTAACCCTGACATGAGCCAGGTATGTAGCTACCAAAAATTTCTTGGTCAGGATATTCTTGACCTTTCGTGCAGGTTGCTGGAAGCCCCCAAGTCTTGTAGTTACTCTTTACTGCAGACTAGTAAAGAAACATGCTTTGGATCAGAATTGAGACCTGGGGTCAGGGGGTGTGTTTCTATCCTCATTCTCTCCAATTTTATACGACTGAGCACTTCTGTATTGCTCAAACAAATGTGTCATTTCTTGTACTCTTGGAGTGTCCCAGTATGTGTGTATACCCTGGGACTTGATGACATAATGAATTTCCCCATCAAAGCTCTGTAATCGAGCCATCTTCACTATCTGATGGCATAAGTCAAATATTAGTCTTAATTTGAACCAGGCCATTATCATATTAGACTTCTCTGTCATTCTTGATGACTGCAGAGCCAATGGCTCTCACATTTCCAAGTGTTAAAGAATTACCACTTCAATGGGCTCAACTGTTCCCCAATTTTTATTTAGAAAACTGATAATGGTTGAAATAAACCACAGGGGGTCAAAAAGCCAGGTGGCCAGGGAGCTTATACCCGAAATGAGAAAAGCCTTGCTACCTGCTGGTTTAATAGGCTGCCCTTATTTCTAATGGGGCTGAGTGGAGCTGAAATCAAGGCTGAGAGACCATATCACAGCGATCTTAACATCGAACCACCTGACATTGGGTCTGTGGGGGATATTTCATCATTGTCTGCTTGACCTTTGGCCTGTTAGACTTACAGCCCATCATTTCTGGGAAGCAGCGACTGAAAAAGCCATTTGTTCCCCATCGATGTACCTGTCCTGATGTGCTGTCAACAGCTGTTTGCATTGCTAACTGCGCCAAGGGAAAACAATTGATGCTGGCAAACTCGAATTTCTAACCACCTCTTTTATTTTTGTCACTCCTGGTGCTAATGATGACCTATATTCTCTACCATAATGATTATCTTAAAAGTCTTTTTGGCGTTGAAGAGAGCGTTTGAGTCCTAAGTGCCTGTATTGTGAAAGAATATAATATGGAGAGGTCTATTATCTTAGAATTCATTTGCCTATTTTTTTCTTTTTTTAAGGCAGCACTGTAAATTAAACCACTTGAGTTGGCTTTGTAGGTTTCCTTTTTTGTTTCCTTTTTTTTTTTTTTTTTGCATACACAGCAAGGATAACTACACCTCAGATTTATGAGCATTGTGAACAGGTTGCCATAGCAACCACTCTGGCTGCTCTACACCAAATAACCTTGTCATGTGAGCGTTTATCACAGGAACATCAAGGACTGGATTGCACTGTACGCTCTTTGGCTAAACAGCAGGATTTTTCTGAATAATAATTGGTCGTGGCCTTTTATTCCACCAGTCAGAGTTAATCATCCTCGGAATCTGAAATTAACCATAATGCATTCAAGGCGCAGAGTGCAGCCATTCAAAAATTCCTCTTTGGGGAAGAAAACTTTCCAGTGATCTTTGGTCTTTGTTGTATATGATCATTGTTGTTATTGTTATTGTCACTATTATTGGGAAGGCTTAATGAGAGAAGGATGAGCATTTGGGAATGGCATCTAGAACTCATTAACATGATATAAGTAAAATGGGTATTTAACTACCGTATTATTTATGAGAAATAAGAGATATTTTAAGCTGCCATCAAAACCAGCAGGTTTTTTCCTCTCTCAAATTACCTTTATAGGACATTTGATCATTTGAATATATTTTATTAGGTTAATTTATTTTCCATAGATCATGTTTTAATACACACCCAGAAATCACAATGTGCTTCTGATGTATCATCTGAGGAGGGAAAATGAGTGGGGTGTAAAGGATCAGCGAGGTCCCAGTGCCTATGGAGCACGTGTGTGTACACACATGTGGTACTTGTGCACATCCACACAAATCCGCAAGATGGACCCTAGAAAGAAAATAATTACATCACAAGGATACAGCTGGCTCTCTATCATAGGCAATTATGTTAGAGCTAGGGGTTGGTGGGTTTAAAAAATATCAGGATTTTGGTTATTTATCAGCAGAGAGGTTTTCTGATCTGTGAAAAGTCACCTTACAAAATTCTACTAGGGATAAAGCCAGGCTTCAGCAAATTCAACAAATTATGGGGTTTTTTTTAAGCATCTTAACACTTCCCCTTTTTGGTGATCCTTTCTTTTACCTTTTCTTTTTCAACTTCCTTGGTCCCTAGACCTTATTTCTTACAGGCCATTTGTATTTGTCCATTCTCACGCTGCTATAAAGAACTGCCCAAGACTGGGTAATTTATAAAAGAAGGAGATTTAATTGACTCACAGTTCTGCATGGCTTAGGAAGCCTCAGGAAACTTACAATCGTGGCAGAAGAGGAAGCAAACACATTCTTCTTCACATGATGGCAGGAAGGAGAACTGCCAAGCAAAGAGGGAAAAGCTCCTTATAAAGCCATCAGATCTTCTGAGAACTCACTCACTATCAGGAGAATAGCAGCATGGGGGGAACCGCCCCCAATTCAATTACCTCCCACCAGGTCCCTTGCATGACATGTGAAGATTATGGGGACTAAAATTCAAGAGCAGATTTGGGTGGGGACACAGCCAAACCATATCACCTTTTATCATCGTTATTGTTGATAATAATTGTCATTGCCTTAAGTGTGACCTCTCCTGAAGATAATTACTTAAAAAAAAATCTCAAATGGAGGAATTTCAGAAATCAGTAAATAATATTTTTTAAAGAATGCATTCAAGGAGGAAAGGACTTTTTTAAGTTCCCACCTAGTCATACCTTCTAGGAAGCCACCAATATTGCCAACTTCTAACACTCTTTTATAAGAGGAACCTGTAGTCATTCCAATCAAATGAAGCTAAATGATTGGATGTGAAGATGAAAAACAGCTAAGTGGGAAGACTTGGGTGCAGCTATTCAGGGAAATAGCACCATCCATCTCATGTCACATCCCTGCTCTTGTCTTTTTGTTGCTTTTCCTTTGAAATAAATGTATATATGAGTCAGTAAAATAAGTTTTAGAAAAGCAACAATATTCATTTATTCATCATATTATGGTAGTTGTAAATGCCAAGGACACTGCTAGGTGTGTGGGGGGAACAGCAATAAAAGAAATCTGATTCTTATCCTCTGGGTACTCACAAGCTTGGAGGGAGACGAGACATAAAGAACCTGGATAGTTACTGCACTCTTAATAAGAAACAAATGTCTTGTGAGTGGCACAGAAGTGCCACTAGAGGTGGCAGCCATCTCTGGCATTGTCATAAGAGGGCGTCTGTTGCATGTGGTGTTGAAACAACTAAGCTACAAGAAAGTGTAGAAGGCTGGTGATTGGAAGGAGAGCATTCCAGGGAAAGAGGATAGCAGGAGTGAAGTAGGAGACATATGAGTGTTTGGTAGAGTCTGAGAAAAGCCAGCATTTGTCAAGGACCCAGGTTCACATCCATGAGTCGTCAGTAGAGATAAAACTGGAACGGTACCTTCAGGTCAGATTTGAAGCTTGGTTACCAGGGGTCTTGAATATCTTCCTAATATGCCTGGGCATTTATTTGGATGGCATCAGAAAGTCATTTCAGGTTCTTAAGCAAAATATTGATGTGATCAAAGTGATAGAAAATTTAAATGAGACTGGGGTGAGAAGGACGAACGAAGACATTTTAGAAGTTGTTTCATCATCTGAGGAGGTGGATTTACCTCTAATCCCTGTTCAACTAGCTTTCTCTTATTTTCCTTCTGAGGAAAAAAAAGGCATCTCCATTTTGGTAGTGATTTTGAAGTGCAGTGTCAGAGGAGGGGAGAGGGTCCACTCCTGGTGCAAGCATCAGATCCATGGCTTAGCAATCAGAGGGGAGGACGGTTAGGAAAATGCAATTGGTTATATTTGGGCTGTTCAGGCTGAAGCACCAAAGATACTGCTAGAGTCTCTTCATTTGATTTCTCAAGATTTAATGTGTGTTTTGTGAAGAGGAAAAAAGTGATAAATGTTTCTGACCAGTGCTCACTAAGCTATGACCAACCTGCCAGTAAGCATTGCTGCTATTAGGCCTGCTATTATTATAAGAGTGCTATCCTTTGAAACTAACAAGAGAAACATATTCACTCTATGTGGTGGAGAATCTTCATGGAATTGTGCCGGGAACCCAGGGTTCCTAAAGCACACCCTGACTGGGATGATCCCCAAAGTTTCTCACAGGCCCCTTTTATTCTGCTAAGGGGTATGATGTGTGTAGGTGAGGCTTAAAGTATGAACAGGAGGAAAATGATTCTCTCTCTGATGCCCCTTCACTCTTCCTTACTCTTGAATATCAAACTATTGAGAAAACTTGTTTTGTGTTGTCATTCTGTCCCAGAAGCAGTTCAAAATGAACTTTTAAAACATTTTATCAGGTCGGGCGTGGTGGCTCATGCCTATAATCCCAGCACTTTGGGAGGCTGAGGCAGGCGGATCACCTGAGGTCAGGAGATCGAGACCAGCCTGGCCAATGTGGTGAAACCCCACCTGTACTAAAAATACAAAAATTAGTCAGGTGTGGTGGCGCACGCCTGTAATCCCAGTGACTCTGGAGGCTGAGACAGGAGAATTACTTGATCCCAGGAGGCAGAGGTTGCAGTGGGCTGAGATCACACCACTGCACTCCAGCCTGGGCGACAGAGGAAGACTCCAACTCAAAAAAAAAAAAAAAATCTCCAGTTTTATTTTATGTAATTAATGAGGACAAAAATCAGTGTGTCCTTTGCACTTTCAGTAGAGTGGGCATTCTTGCTAATAGTACTCAATATGATTCACCTCCGGTTCTCCCTGCTTAGAAATAGCTGCTCTGTTTGGGAAATTCCATGTTACCTAAAGCTGCATAACAGATTGTTCCAAAATATAATGGCTTAAAACAACAATAGTCATTTAATATTTCTCACAGTTTCCATGGGTCACAAATCTGGGAACAGCTTGGCCAGGTAGTTCTGGCTTGGGATCTCTCATGAGATGTCAGCTATGGCTGTCATCTGAGGACTTGACCAGGACTAGAGGATGCACTTCCAAGGCAGCTCACTCACATGGCTGGAAAGTTAGTGCTGGCTGTTGGCAAGAGTCCTCAGTTCCCCACCCGAATCTCTCCACAGGGTTGCTTGAGTGGCCTCAAAACATGGTGGCTGGCTTCTCTCAGAGTGAGTTATTCAAGATACTAAGCAAGACGTCTTTATGAACCAGCCTTGGAAGTCATATACCATAACTTCTAGTGTATTCTATTGATCACATAGGACAGCCTGATTCAATGAGAGTGAGAATTATACAAGGTGTGAACTCCAGGAAATAAAGATCCACAGATCCACACGAGGATGGTGTGGGAAGGGGGCATGTCTTGGAGGTTAAGTATCACAGAGGTGTATCTTTGCAGCTCACATGTGGATGTGTCAGGTTCTGGTATTCAGAAGATGATACTACCCTGTTTCTGCCCCCAAACTGGAAAATGTTCTACCCATGCTGAGGTTGAGTGGTAAAGAATTCCTTTAATCTGATATAATCTGGAATAATGGTTGATAATAGGAAAGGATGGTCAAATTCTTTTAAACATGATTTTAAACTTATAAATATGCACTTATTTGCCAATCGTTTGGTACAGGTGGAATTATTTTTATTATTATTATTATTTTTTTTTTTGAGACGGAGTCTCACTCTGTTGCCAGGCTGGAGTGCAGTTGTGTGATCTTGGCTCACGGCAACCTCCGCCTCCCGGGTTCAAGAAATTCTCCCGCCTCAACCTCCCGAGTAGGTGGGACTACAGGCATGCACCACCACGCCTAGCTAACTTTTGTATTTTTAATAGAGATGGGGTTTCACCATGTTGGCCAGAATGATCTCAATCTCTTGACCTCGTGATCTGCCCACCTCAGCCTCCCAAAGTGCTGGGATTACAGACATGAGCCACCGCACCCGGCCTGATTTTTTCTTAAATAAACTTCTTCTCATTAAAGTTCTGCATCCTTTCCCTCCACAAATCATTCCAAGAATACATTATTTACATTATCTAGCTTTGGGTTCTTTAAAGTGAATCAAGAACCTAAAATGTATTTTATGAGCTATCTACGTGCAGAATTTTATTATTTTTAACTAATCTCTTAGAGTTGTCCCACCCACATTCTATTTAACATCGATCCTTTTTTTTTTTTTAATCAATTTCCCATTTACTGGCTCTTTCCAAAGCAATCAACTTGTTTTTTTGTCAAATCAACAACCCTCTTTGCATTCATAGTTCACAGTTTTGCATAATATTTAAATAAATTATAACTACAACCAGCATAAAAAGGTTTGGGAACAAACACAATTGATTCTTGGGAAGCACGCATTTCAACAGGTATGAGTGGCATGTACCAGCAGAGAGGAGTGTGCTAGACCTAAGGGTTCATCAGAACATCTTGAAGATAGAACGAGCAGCATCAGCTATGTGGCCATGTGTTAAGGCGATGTTTTTGGTCCGTATTTTTACTTAATTTAAATTTCCTCAAAAATTTACATTGTAATGGCTGATCTTTGTATCCTTTTCTCAAAAGTCAAATCTGTGCAAATGAATGCACTGGCCATGCAGCTGACCAATCACAGACTACCAGTGAACCCACAATGCTCTCCTCACCAAGCATGTAGGATGACCTACACGACCTCTGAAGGCCTCAAAGAATGGAGAGATGAATGCCTAAGAGTTAATTATGTTTGGTCCCAAACCTTAAAATGTCAATGTGAATCAGCCACTAATCCAACGCTGAATGATCATGCCTGGACAAAAGTGCATCAGCACTATTTTCAGCAGACAAGGTAGGCTTCCTGGAGGAGGAGGTCTTGACTTTGGACTTGAATAGAATATGACACATCCAATGGGACAGGAGGTTATACCACAGAAATGAGAATGAGTGGGAAAGATAGGAGTATTTGTTGAATAGCAAGTACAACATGGAGAAGAGAAGCTGAAAATGTGATCTCTCAGAGAAGGTAGGGCCAAAGAGGCCCGAGGGTCTTGTCTGTTAGAAATAGGGAGCTATAGCAGGTTTCTGAGCAGGGGAGTAGCATGACTAATGAGGTGTTGGAAGACTGTCAATCTGGCAAGAGGACACTGGGTACTCTCAAGCAGGAAGAAGCTGGATCCAAGGCCTGTTTGCAGCAGCTATTACAGTGGTTTGAAAATGAGGTATGAGAAGGTCCCAATAAAGGTGTGGTCTGTGAATATAGAGATTTCACTAGCAAAAAATAACTGGATTTGGGAGCTGTAAGACAGGGAAGGTAAGAAGAAGAGAGGCAAATTTGAGTCTAGGGAGTTAGAAGAAATAGTTGGTGCCACTCATATAGTATGAAAACATGGAAAAGGGAACCAGGGTGCATGAGGAAGTGAGGAACACAGATTTAGGCTAAGCGTGAGGTGGAAGGGGAGGCGTGGAGAGGACTAGTGGAAGGTTAGGGACAGAAGACGGCTGAGCCAGGGAGAGGGGCAGATTCAGGAATCACCCACAGAGCAGCCTGTGAGAGGCCCCAAACATGGACAGGTGAGGCCTCTGGGGAGGATCCTACAGAGAGACAGAAGGCCAATGTCAAGACTGAGCCACGGCCAGAACCCCTGCTCCATCAATGGAGCCAGAACTTTTCATGGCCCAGAAAAGGCAGTTAGAGCTGTTGCTGTCTAAGCTTTTATAGGCCACCTCTCTGCTTTTCATTTCCTCATCTCCTTCTTGTCCTCTGTCTTCCCTTTCTGAGTCTCCATTTAGAGGACAGGCAATTACACCTCATCAGTGCGATTTGTACACTGCTGTCACATGTAGGCTTAGCCCGGCTCCCTCAGTGCTAATTTCTGCTTCTTTTTGCTGTCCCCTCCTAACTTTTCCACTTCTTCCACTATCTTACTTTTCTACCTCGTTAAGGACAGGAGCCCCTCCATTAGAACTCACACTCCATTGTGTCACACATCGTTTAAATATCTTATCACTTTGCCATTGGGAAAAACAGTAATTGATGGTATTTCCATTTATTTTCACTCTCTCTGCTCCATTTGGGGAATGAAGACGGTTTCAAATAGCTCATTATTTATTTTCCGCTCAGGCTCAAGTTGTATTCCAGCACCGTCCTTACAGGGACCCGAACTTCCCACAATCCCATAATGTTTTATGAGCAGTTTTACAATCAAGATGCTATATTATCATATCCTTCTGAAAGGTGGTTATATGAATAGTCAGGAAGCAGTAGCTGAAGTACAGAGAAATCTCTGCGACAGTTTGACAGCGAGTTCATAGTCCTGTCCTGGGGAGAGCCCTTTGCTCAGGACCCCCTGTGTGGAGGAGCTTCTGCAGGGGCTCAGAGTGGCCAGTAATGTTGTAAAATGCTGTCCTATTTAATGACAACATGCACAAACAGAGGAGGTGCAACAGAACATTCTAACCAGAGGGTTCCTTAGTGAGCATCTGGCCTATCCCACCTATTTTATGGGTGAAGACAATGAAGCTTGGGTAAAAAATGTGACTGACAAGGGACATAGACAAAGATGACCTCTGAGCTGGAAATCAAGCTTTTTGACAGTCACAAATAAAAAAAAATCTTTTTAAAAAAATAATTTTGTTAAATACATCATAAATATGACATCCAGCATATCTAGTCAACTATACTAATAGGAACAAAAACCCACAGATGATGACATAACTTGATATTTATTGTCAACAAAGCAAAGCAGGCAGAAGTGCTGGTAATTGGTGTGTCCTCATCTCATCCCCAGTGCTGGTGCTTGAGTGCTGCATTTTTTATTTACCTTGTCAGACAGCATCATTTCACCCAAGATTTATTGAGTCCATGTGGAGTATGTTTTCATTCCTTATTCATCTCTCTCTTGGTTTTCTACAATAGAGAAATAACTGGAGCTGAGCTAAGAGGCTTCTCCCACTGTATTTGAGATATGCTAACCAATGCCACTCTTGGGACTGGCTTCTGGAGAGGTCCCTGAGATGGGCAGAGGGAGGGAGGTTGAAGACGTCACGTAACAGCATCACTTCTGGATCCTAGCTGAATTCTGGGAAGATGGGATTTCCTGTAATAAAATGGGGTTGGGAAGTACACTGTTTAAAAGGCCTGGGATCACAGACACTAAAAAGAACTATGAACTTGGACCTGGGATCCAGTTCTAACTTTGCCATCAAATAGCTACATGACTTTTCGGAGCCTCCATATCCTCATGTATAAAGGGGTTGGTTCTGTAGAGTGAGACTCCATCCAGTGCTCATATTCTGGGGTTCTATGGAGACTGTGCCTGTGGGAGATGGTGAGCAATGATTGCAAAGAACATGGAAGGGGGGATGCTAAGGCAAAGCTAATGGGAAACACATGGTGTGGATGCCTGAAGGCAGGAAGAAAGGGGGTAGGGTCAGCAGGCCCAGGGGCTTCCCATCAAGGCTTCACTTCTCCAGGAGCAAACTGTTTCTAAAATCACAACTGTGCACAGGCATGAGTAGGTGGACACCCACACTTGCTTTTTCATTGCTCATCAAAGGAGAGCCATTTATAATCATCTCCATTGACTTTCAAACATGCTGTGAAGTAAACAGACTCTATTATAACGTGTTTACAAATGAGGTCACTGAAGCTCCAAGAAGGTAAGAGACTTTTCAAGATTTATCGTTTATGGGCTGAGCTGGACAAGACCCAAAATTTCCTAGTTCCTAGTCACAGGCCTTTTCCAACTCCAACTTCCAAGTTTGCTATAGCAACCACTTATATTTCTATAGAAATTTTTACTTGTAAAGTATATTTAAAAACCATTACCTCATTTTTATCCTGCTGAAGGCCTGTCAGTTGGGAGTGCTGGGGGCTATTTCTCTTGGTTTAGAGATGGTGAAACTGAAGAGATTTTCCCTGAGTTTCCTAATCATTCAGCAAACCCTCTTAGAGCACCCATGTTTCACCAAGCACATCCCAGACATGGCTGCCTAATGGCAAAGCTAACTTTTATCTCAATGTGTCTTGACTGCACATCCAGTTCCCTTTAGGAGTTGAGATTTTCAAGGCACGAATAAAAGTTTTCATAAGAAGCTTCTAAATATGCCATGGACAAATGGTCCTGGCAATGGTAATAAATATTCCATCCAAATGCTGACCCTCCATAGCCCACTCTTATTTTAAGATGGCCTTCCAACCCTAGAATTAATGTAAGAGATATGTAACAATTCTAAGATTGTTAATTCTACATGGCATGGCTATAACAACATTTGATGAGGGCACCAGTCCCAGGCTTTGGTTTTGATTTGAAATAGGCAAAGCATGTATGAATGCCATCCACCCTACCAGTGCTGTCTCCTCTCCATCTTCTCAGCACCATGATTCTGCATGCTCCTCCACCTGAGAACTGTATCCTTGGTTCTGTCCCTGTTAGTCCCCCTGATGAATTGCCAGTACATCAGTGGCACAGGCTGTCACAAAAACAGAGATGGGATGGCAAGCCCTAGAGATGGCTGTGGAAGACATGTCTGCTCTGGGAGAGGATTTGAACTAGCTTGTGCTGAGATTCACTCTGCTGCTAAGGACACATGAAATAGACTCACTGAAAGTATTTTAAATATCTTCTAGTAACGTGGTCTCTCCTGGAATTCAGTGTCAGTCAGGCCCCTAGGTATAATAGTAAGCTGTCCAGCACTTTCTAGTTTACACATATTCTGTCAACCTTCTACAGATTCTCAAAGCAATTCCCATTTCTACATTTTCCTTTATGACTTTCCCATGGATAGGTAAACAGTCCTAGGGTATTTTTTTTTAAAGGGAGGGGGTGGATTTCATTTGAGTGAAAAGCTGTGTGCTGTCCCCGACTTCAGAAAAGGTGCTTCTCCTCCATTATTACCTGGGATACTCTCTGGAAGTGAGGCATGTTTGAACTACTCACAACTCTCTTACATCCTTTTTGTCATTAAAAGAGAGCAAGTCCCTGGGAGCAAAGGGGAAGTCTATGTTCTGAAAAGTGAGCCAACCCAACTCTCCTGCTCACTCCTCCACATCTCCCTGGCACGGCATCGATGGCCACCCCTCTTATCTAGCAGTCAAGACCCAACTTGAGTTCCACCTCTGCCTCTGATTCTTCCTGAACTATCCCGCCTCTGTTTAGCTTCTCCCTGTTCTGGACTACCCGAGTCAAACTTTCTGTTCCTTGCTGAGTGCCACTTATTGTCATTGTTAGCCTTGAATTTGGAGCTAAGTTACAAAGCGTGTAATCATCTAACTTATCGAGTGCGTAATCGTGATTTTTCAACTGGATTGTGGTTTTCCTGAAGGCAGAAGACATGCCTCCTTCAGCGGTGGTCCTCTCTGTGCTTTACATTAACTAGTCATATGGTACCTGTTTGTTTGTTTATTTAAAAAGTGATGTCCAAGCAGAGCACACCCTTGTATGTTTTATCCCTGATAACACAAGCAGAGCCGAATGAGATCAGCATGTGTGTGTGTGTGTGTGTGTATACACACATATATATAGTATATATATACACACATATATGTACTATATATATACACATATATATACTATATATCTATATACATATATACATACATATACATATATATACACACATATACATATATACATACATACACACACACACACACACACACACACACACACACATACATACACGCTTAATGGAAAACCAGCCCTTGAACAAAATTGGGCATTTTGTAAGAGAAGCAGAGTATTGTCCCAGGTTCCTGGTTCTGCCTCTGGGAACCTGCATTGGTCATGTGAGTGTGTGTTAGGAAGCCCCTTCTCGGCCAATTCTGGACCACCTATTGCAGCAGGAAATACATCCATCTGCTCTTTTCCCTCAGGGAATGATTGCATTGCCACCACCTCCTTTCACCTCTTCAGATGCCAATTTTTTTCATCTTTTCTCAACATAGAGTTGGGGAAATATTTGTATTGGCTGAGTTGAGACTGGCTTATTTGACCCAGTTAACAGTGACCCAGTCATTCCGACATACCTGCTGAGGAACATAAGTAGCAGGAAAATGGACACCTCACCCCCTTTCACTGGAAGAATGTGGAATAATTCTTTGTGTTTGTCATGAGGGAAATGAAACCCCTGATCTGATATTCACTTAATTTTTCTTCATGGAGAAAGCTGTTGAATTCTTCTATTAGTAGGGTTAGAAAAGAAAGGGAAAAAAAAAAGGACTCTCCTGGAAATCAGGAGGCCTGGCTCTCACCCTGGCTCTGTGCCCAAGGCCTCCCCACCTGGTTCTTTCCATGGGACCACACACTTACACATTTGCACACCTGCCTGTCACTAAGTACCAAGCAATGGGTTCATTTGGATGCCAGTGTTTCCCTTGAAGACCACCCTGAAGTTCCTCCTGACAGTCATGCTTTCTACTTCAAATTATTGGGTGCAGGCAGACCAACATCTGAGGTACATGGTGTGTGTGTGCACAGAGGTGTCAAAGTTCCAGCTGGAGGGTCTGGGAACTGAGTTCTGTCCCACCCCATTCACTGATCAATGTGTGACCAGGAAAGTCCCTTAAGTCCCAGTGTTTGTTTCTATAGGTTGGAAATAATGACTCAGATAACCCCAACCCAGGAGTTTCTCCCAGGGCTCTTGTGAGAATTAAATGGGATCAGAAATGTGACTATATTTGGGAAGAAACGGATGTGAGGAAACAGTGGTGGCTATCAGAGCATCCTTGTGTGTGTTACCAAGAGGACAGGGCAAGCAGGAGATCCTGGCATCAGGTTCTAGCTTTGGCTGCCAATGATGTGATCTTAGGAAAGCCATAAGATCTCTCAGGGCTTCGCTCTCCTCATCTGTCAGATGGGGATTAAAATAACTGCCCTGCCTTTCCCACAAAGGTGTCGTGAAGATCTGAAACAATAGGCATGAAAGAGCATTGACAAATACACAACACCATCCAAGTAAGAAAGAGTTCACTGTTTATAGCAAGTCTGCTTGGACTGAAGGCCACTCATTACATGTAAGAAACTCACAAACTCACCCTCCTAAAAGAGAGTCCCAGAGGGAGAGATTATATGTAAATCACCTAGCTACTGCACCAGCATTTCTTCTGGAAGTTATGTCATTGAACCCAAGGAGCCCTAGCCTGGGAATTAAGGATGGAAGCTAGACATTTACAGGGAAAATTCACAATATAGCCAGTCTCTAGGGATAGCATATATTTTAGCAATATTATATCTGACTCAAATAAAACAATACCTTTCAAGGGCATGGTGTCACTTCTTCAAATTGTTGGATAGAAATGATCCATGTTTAAGAAGCTGTAAAATGGCAACTACAGACCATAACTTTAAAAACCTGTTTTGCAGGATTGTAACAAAAAAACACTGTGCACAATATTGGAAGTGTGGAGGAGAGAGGGTGCTAACATGAACATAAAGCAGACAGCAGGCACCACAGAAGCTCAGGAAGGGAAATCCTTGAGGACTGAAGAGGAGCCACCCCTATAGGCTGGAGGTCATGGGCACCCCCAGGGCACATACCCCACTAGTTGGTCCTAAAACACAGGCTGTACTTGGAAAAGTAGAAAGGAGGGAACTATGTCAAAGTGACATGTCATCTGGGTAGAGAGGTGAGCAGAAGGAAATAGCAAGTTTAATGACAGAATGGACCAACCCTTGAGACTGCATTACAAAACAGCCTGTCCCACTTACTACCCAAGACAAAAGAAGAAACATTAAAGAAAACTTTCATTTGAGTTCTGTTTAATAAGTACAGAGAACATACAAATTCAGCTTCTCTGATTGTTTTTGATAAGTCCCCACTATTGGTTCTAGATTTCTGGGAAGAGATGGGCATCTGTTGTTCTCATCAGAAGAATCCATGCACTTTTCCTAAATGCATGAAACCTCATCACCAGTGCTTGGTTGAGAAGATGGAGTACTAGATGGTTCATTACTGAACAAAGACAGGAAGAGAGTAAAGGGGCCAACGGCAGAATTTACTTTTTCAAATATTTGGAGGACCATACTCCCTGAACAAGAATGAAGTTATAGTGGAGGATGGAAGAGAAGACATTGACGCCAGAGTTCCATATTTATTGGCATAAAGAAATGATTACAATATATTATTAAATTTTAAATTACCTTATAAAACAGTATATACTATATGTTTTCATTCTTTGCAGAAATAAAAGTCTACTTATTACATGAATAAATACTGTTATGTTTTTTAAGTCTAAATCCATCAAGCCAGGAAACTGTGGAGAGTCTGTGGAAGACTTGCCTATGACTGAAATTGGCGATGGCTAAGCAGAGGAAGTTGGTCTTCATGCAAAATGATTTGAGAGGCATGGACCTCTCTGAGCAGAAGCAAATTGGCAGGGCACAGGGTGGACCATCTATGCCACTCACTCTTTAGGGATTCTACAGTGAGCACAGGGAAAGCCTTGAGGAAGAAATCTAGCCCATCACTTGATTCCCTGTTGTCAAATAACTGTGATATGGACAGCAAGTAGCTCCTAGGACCCCCATTTAGAGTCAGAGGCCTCTCCAGCCTGACCAGTCTTACAATAGCATAAATCATATTTTTATGTACATTTCAGCCTCACTGATGGAGTCTAGTCTTTGACAAGAGTCCAGAGGGAAAGAAAGACAGAAGTGCGTGAGTTTGATCCTCGAAGCCAAGTTACCTCCTGGGGCACCTGGAAGTCTCCTTCTGTGACTCCCCTGGGGTGGCTGAGTTCAGATCTTAGCAGTGGGAAGACCTGCTGTTGTAGTCTGATCCAGTAAAGGTCTGTAGTTGAGGAACAGAAAGAACCTGGTTCCCTTTGCTCCTGAAGTTGTTTTAGTCCTTCCCTAAGGAATCAGAGGCATTCCTTGGCCCAGTGATGTTTAAGGCTTTATGGAAACTCAATAATATGCCCTAACTGACTGCGCTGTCTCTTGATCCTCATTCATAGGTTTCACACTCAGCCTCCATTCTCAGAACACTCAGATGTTAAGCAACTCAGGTCTGGGGTGGGTCTTTCTTGGCAACTTCCTTTTTCTTCAAATGTTTAATCAATTCATGAGAGTATAGTTATAACTTTGGGAAAGGTCTTAGAAGTCCATTGCTAAAGCATGGTCATTTTGGCAGATGGGAAAATAATCTTTGAGAGTTAGGTAGCTTTCCCCAAATCACATAGTTGGTTAGTAGCAATGCTGGAACAAAAAACAAGTTTCCAAATCACTAACCCAGTGTTCTTTCTTACTACAGCTTCCTTTTAGTAGTTATATTTGTTGGACATTTGCTAAGAATGGTTAGAGAAAAGTATAATACATATCCCATATGCTCATGGCTATAAATCAAGTTGAATAAAGAAAATATACACAAGGGAAATGAGAGGGATCTTGTAATAACTCACGTAGCACTAACTAAAGATTTCAGAAAAGGGAGAGATCTGTGTGGATTGGGATAATTGGACTGGCTCTTTCTGTGGAAGGGAAGTTATTTTATTTTATTTTATTTTATTTTATTATTTTATTTTATTTTATTTTTTGAGATAGAGTCTCGCTCTATTTCCCAGGCTGGAGTGCAGTGGTGTGATCTCAGCTCAGTGCAAGCTCCACCTCCTGTGTTCACACCATTCTCCTGCCTCAACCTCCTGAGTAGCTGGGACTACAGGCACCCACCACCATGCCTGGCTAATTGTTTTTTGTATTTTTAGTAGAGATGGAAAACCAGACAGAGAAAGAGAGAGCTTGCAGAGATGGTGGCCTTCACATGGTGGGAAGAAGGGAGTCTGCTCACTTCCCATAAAGACTAGGAGATCTGTGGATCCATGGAGCTGATGACTGGAATGGACACCCAGGGAGACCTTTTAGCCTTTGCCCAATGTGAGTTCTAGTTTAGTGAGACTCCCCTGGTTGGGTGCTGATGACTTTTTAGAGGAGAAGGAAATGTGCAAAGATGAAGTTCAGGATCCAGGCATGAGATAAGAAGTATTGGATCTTATATAATCTACTTTAGATCATTTACCTTTTATTTGGAAACAATCATAGAATGTCTCATTTGGAGGGGTAATTACACAAGGTTTAATGCTGATTAGGTAGAGGGAATAGTTCTCTATATGGTATTCTTTCTGCTACAGCCTAAGTGACCATTGGACTCTCTTCTCAAGGGATTTCTGGAGTCAGTTTTGAAAGAATTAAGATGTTATATTTTAAAAATATATTACACGTCTAGCAAGTGGATGAGTGTGTTGTGCGTGGTCTGTGTGTCTGTGTGTGTGTGCATTGTCTGATTAATGAATGAATCCTGGCCCCTCACTACCTAGTTAATTTACTAAACCTCTCTATGCCTCAGTTTCTTTCCCATGAAATAAAGATAGTGACACTTACCTGGCAGGATTATCAAAAGAAGTAAATATTATTTTTTTAAAAAACTACTTTGTGCAGTGCCTAGCATATGGTATGCACCCAAATAATGTTAGTTCTCTTTCCTCTTTTCTATTGACAGTCACCTAGCAAAGAATAGCACTTTAGGGGACACTGGGCAGGGGGACACAGAAAGCTGGACGTTAGGGCACCACCTCAGCCTGAAGGGACAGCTCAGTTAGAAACTGGAGGTCATGGGCACAATAATGTGTGTGCAATGTGCTTCAGGCACAGGAAACAAGCAGTGCCCACAGGTCAGTGAATACGGTCAGAGCTTTGGTCCATATGACCATTTCACTCCTCTTTGCAGAGAACTGGGCTTTGCAAGGGGCCCATGGTAGCCAATAGGAGGTGACAATCCATCCACTAAAATGAAGGAAGTGGGAAGTGTGACGATGAGGAGAGGAAGAAACAAACTTCCCTGATTAGAACCCTTGGCCTTTGGAGGGTTCTTGTGCTTCCAACAGTCTCTTTTGTTAGGTGATTTGACAATGGAAGGCAGTACAATGGCAGAACTGAGTACACACAACCCCTGGTTTATGTAGTCAAAGAGGGAGATGAAAACTGAGCGCAGGGCTTCACTGTTGAATATCATTCCCCCAGCAAGACAATGCCTCGTTTGAATATTTGTTCTTAGTCACTATTTGTTTTTATTCTGAGCAGCCATTAACCTCCTACTATTTTTCCATCTTTTATAATAAAAATAGCAGTGTTGGAAAGGATAACAACACTCCCAGCACGGAACCCTCCCCGTACAGTGTTCTGCATGACAATGAAGGAATGAAAATGACAGACACTCCTGTGCAGAATGATAAGGCCACAGGGGCAGGCGGGACCCAGGTGACCGAATAAAGCTTCTGGTATAGGTTTTGGGAATTCGCCATTATGAAACCATCCTCCAAAGAACGTAGCTACAAAAATAATAGGTGATTAATTAACAATTGGGCAGGAATACTTCAGTCCCTAATAAGCTCCTTGCCCATGATACACAAATTGCTGAAACCCAGGGAGTCCCCTGGGGATGTGCATCCTAACAAAGGAGGCCAGGAGTTCTGACCACATTGCTAGAAAATACCCAGAGTGATCTAGGGGAGACAGAGCCCAAGAGAAGTCACCAACTGCAATTTCTCTGCAGCAGCCTCACACCCAGCCACTAATTTTCCACCCTGATTTCGGCTTTGTGAGTACACTTTGATATGTTCATGATTCCTGCACAGACCTGGACCGCATCAACCCAGCATTTGAGTCTTCCCAGTACAGGGTCTTGTGGATGCCAGGATAGTCTAGTAGACATGTGATCCTAAGATAGGATTTGATGGCCACATAGACATAGCCTCAGTCACCAAGGACTTACTGCCTGACCCTGAGTCATTAAATCTAACCTTAGGGGCAAGAGTTTGTCTGGGATTTTGATTTCCATGTATTAGCAAATCCTTTTGTACATTTTTTGTGCAATAAATAAATAGGTAAATGAGAGCCCAAAGGCCTATTTTGCCACCACAGATTTGCTAACTGTTTTCTACTCTTTCTGTCCTCCTCTAAATTCTCCTCATCCTTCCCTCACTCTCTGTAGATGAACTCCATCAACTTTTCTCTTTCACTTCCTCAAAACAATTATCTACCTCCTCTGAACTATAACCTTCTCAATATGGATTAGATAGACATAGGTTTGAGTCCTGACCCCAACATTTACTACCAAGGGACTGCAGGCAGGATCCTTTCCCTAACTAAGCCTCAGTTTTCCCATGCATACAGTGGAGAATATAGTACCCCCTCAACATGCTGTTGTGAAGGTTAAATGCAACAAATATTATTTTATAATTAATATTGTATTCCCAACATTGTTAACCAAATAACAGGAGCTTTTCTTTGAATGCAATCTCAGCTTGCCTACGTCCACTCTTCCCTTATCTTCCTAGGCCTTCTTCTATGATGGATATAAAAAGCCTTAGTCATACGTGAGAGGTATCTCAAAGGCATTCAACTTTCTCCAATCCTCCAGATGGACATGCTTTCTTTATTTCTGAAACACCAGGGGACTCCACACTATTCTTGTGACACTTACCTTATTCTATCACACTTCTCCGCCTTGTACCTGCTACTGGGTTAAAAAGATCTAGAAAACTGGAAACAGGTGACACAATATCCAGCCATGATATGACATCAATAAGTTTGTTTTGATCTGCATTATCTTAAAGCTTCCTGATTATTTGGGGCTACAATGACATTTAAGTTAATTGGATTCAAACTAAGAGGATGTGAATGTTGCTTAAGATCAGGGCATTTAAGCACTCATTATTGATGAGACCAAGGCTAGGGAATGGGTATGGAGATCCTGAGTGGACACTGAGGATGACAATAGTTTTAAAAAGAAAAGAAAGTGTGGCTTTTCCTCTCCTGGAAGGGGGAAGATGGATGGTGGCCACATAGACACAGGAAGGGCCAGTGTTAGTCTGGTCAACTTCTCACTGCCTTCAGTTCATCCCATGCTCATAATACTTACTCAGGGCTCCTGTGTCTTCCCTCAATGGCAGATAGTCCTTTACACCTAATATAACTTCATCCCCATCTCTGAGGGTTCTTCTGGGTTTAGGAGACCATTCCCTCGACTCCTTATTTCTCCCATCTCTGAATCACAGGGAACCCTATGGTCTGAACATCCCCCTACCCTTAACTGTAGATTGTCCCATATTGTTCTCTCTCTAAAGCATGAACCCTCAGAGGCAGACACCATATTTTCCCTTCCTTTGCTTGATTCATGGCCAGCCACAAAGCCGGTCCTTAAGAAATACTTGTTCCAAGACTGATGGGTTGAGAGTCCCACTTACAAATGGAGGTTATCCTCAATGATATAAGACACTGTCAGTCTGATGACTCTGAGATGTCAACAATAAAAACTGTTAACAAGTAAAGGGAAAAGCTGTAAGACCTATTTTATATTTTGTGCACTAAAAAGGCTGGCAGTTTAACTCAATTTCATCAGGAAATTTTGCAGAGCTTTGTTGTTGTTGTTGTTGTTTGCATGATTTTAAATAAGCTCCATCCATTAAACTGTTATGCACATGTGGATAGCACCAGTGGATTTCCTGCACAGAACCAAGAGCAGGGAAAACCTAAGCGCCACAGCAGTCCTTGGAATCCCTGAATTGTTAGCAGGTTTACTAACTGGCAGCCTGAAGGCAATCTATTTTATTAAGAGATTGAAAAATAGTTTAAAAAACCAGCACGTGAAGATTTCAATCAGAAATAGATGGGCACTTTTTAAACTGCAATTGGTTTCTAAAGAATGGGCAAGATAAGAATTGATAGAGGTGAATAGCTATCAAAACGTGGGGTGAAAAAATGAAGCAAATTGCCACCTACTTGAAGTGAATAGCTCTTGTAATGTAATGGGTTTTAAACTTTAAAATTGTTTTGTTCTCTGACATACATAACCATGGAAGGCTGGATTGAGAGTGTTTATTGGTTTTTTCCAATGGAAGGTTGCCTGTTTGGTATTTGAATAATAATCTCTATATAAAAATATGGTAATGTAATTATGCTAACTAGTATTTTCTATAATTCAAGACTCTGTTTATAATAATGTATCATATTTTGCAGTCAGGTAGGAATCCATTTGTCCCCTCCACCTGGGCCTGGAGATAGGAAGAGAAACTTTAATATACAGTTCTCTGCAATCAGGTCCTCTCTGGAGTTAGTTTCCCAGAAGATGATACAATAAATCTTACCAGAAATACCTTCATTTACCACATGCTGCCAAGTGGAGATGAAGCTGATTCTTCAAAATTTCGCAGATAAAGTTGCTTTGATCAAACTCACAGATGGAAACATGCTAGCAGGAAGATATTAGCCCAACTCAAAGGCAAAGGAAATGAGAGAGGAGCTTAAATTACTTTGGGGAAAAGGAATAGAATAGGTCAATTACATTTATTATTACACAGTGTGTTATTGAGAAATCTGTGCATGAAAAATGAGTATTTCATCAGCTAGTATTATAATATCACACACACCAAAATTTTAAGTTGCAGGATGGCTCTATACTAGATTGAGTTCTCTTTTAAATTGGCATGGTACTAAGACAATTTTGGCAAGACTGCTGTTCTTATTTTTACACTAAGAATAATAGCACTGATGGAGTCCCTTTAACCTCCCAGCTGAAGAGTTTGCCTTTGGCTGGGACATAAACTCCAAAAATACTGATTAATAGAGAAAGAGCAATCCACTGGATAGTGCCTAGTGGCTTGTCCCAGGACTCTATATCAACCTGTTCTGGTCAAGAGCCTTAATAACTAGGGTGAAGATACAAAAAGCAGAGTATACAAAACCACAGTTTAAGTAAAGTGGTAAATATATAGGAAGGTATGTTGCAATCCAAACTGGTTTCCATGGCTAGCAAAAGTGGGCCTGATTTAACCTATTAAAATGTACATGGATAAATATAAATTCCTATATTTAGGTTTCTCAAAAACTCACAATCAAAGAGCACAGGACAGGGAAGATGTGACTAAACAGCAGCATATGACATGCCAGAGGAGCTTTAAAAGCTTTGGAGCTCTATTACTATTAATAGAGCCCCAAAGACCATGACCAGACAGAGGGAGGTGATACTGAACGTAACACACTTCGAGTTTTGTGTTACATTTGGGGGTACCACCTTTTAATAAAGAAGTTGATAAATTGGAGTAAAATGTCCAGAATGGTGAATGAGCAGTGACTGAAAAAAATTACGTTGTTTATGTTAAAAAGAACAGTCTGTTTTCAAATAGGTTAGAGGCAATCAGGTCAATGTGCAAATGGACTTATTCTGGGTGATTCCAGAAAGCAGATGCAGTTCCAGTAACAGCATGGATCTATAGACCACCTTCTCTGTCCTTTGATGACCCCCAAGTTTGTATTTCTTAACTAGGGCAACAGTAATGGTAATTTATCCACAGAGGGAAGAGCTGGAAAGGAGGGAATTTAGAGAAAACCCAAGAACACTGCAGGTCAATCTTTACAGGAACAGAGACCAAACCCTTTCAAACAGTCTTCATTCCCTTTCCCTCTATCACTTCTTTCTTCTCTCATATCTCCTCTCCCTACAATTTTTTTCTCCTCATAAACGAGTCTTGAAAACAGTGAACTGACCAGGAAAAGTATGTTGATTCAAACCTCTTACAGCATCCTGGTTACCTTTCTATTTTTGTTCCATCACAGTGACAGGCGATTTGAGGTGATGATAAATCCACGCATTTAAAGCCTTGATTGCCTGAATAAATAGATTGGATAGCTTCAGTAATTGGATAATTAAAGCAGAAGCTGAGTAAGGATGGCTGGAGATTTCTTTCTTTTTTTTTAAGCCGAAACCAAAGCTGTGGGAGTAGAAAAGGTTAAAACCAAAAAACAATGCATATTCACATCAAAAGGTGGGTGCAAGGGAAAGGGGATAGAATTCCACTGAACTGAGATTCAAATGTCAAAGGAAGACACATTTGAACTTTGTCTCCCAAAGCATGTTGGTCCTCCGCTCAGGATTCTAGGTTGGGCCACACAGGAGACCAGAGACTGGAGCCCCTCTTCTGAATAAGCGCTCTTCCCACTGCCTGGCCCACCCCACTTCCCACACACACAGGCACGTATAGATGTACGCGCTAATGGACGCACGCATGAGTGCGCATCCCTCTGCTTTGCCCTTTATTTTCATCTTTCCATTTCTCTCCGATTTTTATTGCCCTTTCAACATAGTGCTTGAAGCCTGTGGTTGGACTCCCAAATCTGTAAAAAGCTACCAGAGAGGGAATTCACTAAGGCACTCCTCCTGTCTGTACACCCAAGGGAGCAGGAAAGAAAGCAGGGCCAAGGTGCAGGCACATCCTTGTTTCCAGATGGTGGAAACCAGCCTCATAGAGAGAGTCATGCACCCAGGACCCCACTGCCAGACAAGGAAGTTAAGCTGTTTTCTCTGCTTGTGGAGAGTCAGATGAGCCTCTCTCCTGGAGCCAGGCATGCCCAACCAGCACCAGATCACTGCACAGAGCCCCACCTCCTTCAAGCCTCGCATCTGGGAGTGGCCCATCCGCTCCAGCTGCTAGCCACCCTCATGTCATGCGGTCTATCATCCCCATGCACACCAGCCTGCACTGGAGGTGGTTAAGTGGTGGCCATGCAAGAACTCGGTCACCGCCCTCCAGCCGCACCAGCAGTTGTTGTGTTGTGTGCTTACTATGCACTGCCTAAGCTCCAATCTCAGCAGGCAGTTGTGTTGAGTGCTCACTATGTCGGACGCTGTGCTAAGCACATCCTCGATGTCTTGGCCCTCAAAAATCACTTGTTGTTTCCCATTTTGTTGATAAGAAAATTGAAACCTGAAGAGGATAATTAACTTCTTGGCAGATAATAACTCCAAGTATGAGGATTCATATTCATACTGAGCAAAATACATGCTCTTAATGTATGCGATACCCTGCTGTCTTCCAAAGGCCTAGAAATCTTGGGTTATAAATATACTTACCCCCTTGACTTCCTATTGCCCTTCTATCTACAGTCATACATCCAACAAAACATTTATTAAGCCCTTACTATATATGAGGGTCTGTGCTTGGACTGAAACTGTAGAAGGGAACATCAGAATGGTGATCTCAACGACATGGAGAGGCAAAAATAAAGACTTTCAGTAAGTATACAATGTAGTAAGTTCTTAACTATGGTAGGTACTCAGCGAATATTTGTTGGATTTGATTGATTAAATTATTTTAATTAAACCTCCACAAATCATTCCCCTGAGAGCAGGCAGCCATTCAGCATCTCTCTGCATGACTGGTTGAGGCAGGATGAGGGGGTAGGGTGGGATTGGAGTAAGGAAGTCTCTTCTATTCCTATTGCAACCACAAGCTGGCCTGAAAAATACAAAGAAATATTTTTTATTCCACAGCTAGCAGAATTTACCTCCTGTTATCTGTATCTACACATACAAACTAGTTCGAGAGGGTTCAGGGGAAAGTTAAAGAAAGGCTCAGTGTGTGTTTGGGTGTTCATACATGTGTGTGTGCAAGAGAAAGAGCAAAAGTGAGAGCAAAAGAGAGAGAGAAGGAGAGAGATCTTTGTTTAAGACTGTGTTTAAGATGATTTATAATAGCCAAAGCAACTGTTTAAAACAAACCTATCCCGCTAGAGGCTAAACAATTCCATTTCTACTCAAACAAACTGTGAATGAATTGTGTCCCTCAGAAAGGAAACCAGGAATAAAAATATCCTAATGATCTAGCAAGAAAGTTGAAATTAAAGCCTTATCTATATCTATGATAGGAAAATGGACAGGAATACTGGCCATCTTCCTGTCATTTAAGAATTCCTGTCCATATAAGAATTCATCAAGGAGCTGTGGGGGACATACATGTAGTTCATTATTCCCCATATCAGGCATTAGGCACTTTCTGAACAATATCTCCTTTAATTTTCCCAGTGATTCTCTGTACCTCCAATGTTACCTAGGGCCTATAACCTGTCAAGAGTAAGAGAAGACAGTGGCAGCCCTGGTATTAAAACCCAGACAGGCTAGACATGATAGATTATGCCTGTAATCCCAGAACTTTGGGAGTTCCAAGAAGGGAGGATCACTTGAGGGCCGGAGTTGGAGACCAGCCTAGGCAATATGGCCAGGTGCCATCTCTATAAAAATAAAAATTAAAAAATTAGCTGGGCATGGTGCACACCTAGCTACTTGGGAGGCTGAGGAGGGAGGATTGCTTGAGCCCAGAAGTTTGAGGTTACAGTGAACTATGGAGGCACCACTGTACTCCAGCCTGGGCAACAGAGCAAGACTCTATCTCTTAAAAAAAATGCCAGGCAAAGTTGCCTGGTTTGCTTGTCAGATTTCACCATGTTGTTAACTTAGATACTAACCTGGTTACTAAAGGATTAGCTAAGGCATTTGGCTCTCAGAGAAGTGTTCAGTAAAAAAACTCTACTGATTCTCATGCTATGTATATATTCTGATTTTTTTTTTGTTTTCTTTTTGAAAAACTGTCAATGAACAGCTATTTATTGCACATCTACAATATGTTTGGCACCATGGTAGGTGTTGAGGATTCATGGAGGAACACAACCAACCTGTTTCTTGCTCTTATGATGCTCACAGTCTAGTGAGGAAGAAATGCCAATGAAATAATTACATATAATTAGCTAAATAATTATACACTGGTCTCTGCTCTGCTGCACTAAGGAAAAACACGAAAAAGAGTTTTGCCCACATTTGGTGGAGAGTTTGGAAGGGAATGGCACCACATCCACATCAGCACAGTGTTGGGGGTGAGGGAGACACAGGAATCCCAGTTTGCAAGAACCCAACAGAGAAGAGACCACTCCAGGGAAAGACTTGACACCAGTTGGCCTTTTACACCTGGAAAGTCTTCCCTCAGGCTCTACCCTGCACAGAGCAATCCTTGGAGACTCTATGCTTTTTTTCTCATAAGTAAGACCATTTCCTTACAGGAGAGTAATTCAGCATTGGAAAGCTAGTTGCAGTGCCCTGTGACTGGTTTAACTGAGTGTTTCCCTTTTGCATGAATTGCTCTGGCATTATTTAAGCCCAGTCATAATATTGTGGTTCACCGGAAGCTAAAAAGAGGCCTGTGTAGGTTGATCAAATCATGATCTAATGAAAATGGATGGCTGGCTCTTCCAAAGGAGTATGAATATGGGCCACCTCTGGGCAACTTAGCCCTAGAACCTTGCTATGCAAACACTGTTTCAGAGAAATCATTTTTCAAGTTTTTTTTTTTTTAATTTTCTTCATGACATCTGGACTAAATCCAGCAGTGTTGCTCTGTGACTTTTTCCAACATATACAGAGAACCCCATGTGGCTGTCCTCTAACACTCCATTCTCCACTACCCCCACCTCAGCCAGGTTTGTCAACAGACACTTACTCCAAGACCATAGAGATGAGAAGTTGGGTAGTCTGGGTTTCCTTTCACTCCTCACCAGCAGAGCTGTTCCAGCTTGTTGGAAATCAGAACGTGTCTCTGGGTGCCAGACCACATGTCCACATCAGCAGTTTAGTGGAAGGTGAACCCAGTAAGCCTAGGCAGGGGGAGGCAAACCTACCAGAGGACATGGGCTGAAGACTACAGCTTTAAAAGTGTGTTCCTGACTTAGTAGACAGAATTCCAAGAATGAGACATTCCTAACTGGAGTCCTGGCACTATCACTTACAAGGTACATGACGTTTGGAAAACTGATCTCTCTCAAAGCTTCCATTTTCTCATCTGTAATGAGGGGAGTAATAGAACTTACATAAAAAATAAAGCACTTGGAGCAACCCAGAACACAGAGACATTATGCAATAAAGGGAAACGGCTGTTGCTATTGTCACTTAAGTCATAGGTGAGAACCTACCAGGAATTGAGACACTTTGAGTCCTTAGGTCTCAGTCCAGCATTGCTCTAGGACTCAAATGCCGGGAGAATAAAAAGACAATAAACAGCATCCTCCCTGAGGATCATCCAGGCTGCCGTGTTCGTGCTTCATTGTGTTTTGATCTGCCATTGACTGACTTCTCTATTTCTGGTCTCCTATTTTTGCCCAATCTCTGGAGCTGAACTGTGGATTTGAAACCATCTGACTGCTTCTGCCTGCTCCCAACTGTCCCTTCCCTCGGACAGCCATGCCCTCTCTTTTTCCACTTTGGCTGTCTTTGACTGCATTCTACTTATGCCAATGTTCCAGCCTCACTGCTCAGAAAAATAACAAGGTGCCTTTTTAAAATGTAGTTTTACATAATTTTTCAGCTTGGGAAATGCTAAGAAATGGCTCTTTCAAGCAGAGATTCCAAGGATAAGTCTACATGTGCCCTCTTGTGGAGGGGCATGATATTCAAATGATTTGGAAATGGAATAAAATCCAAACGGGCTGCCATTTCTCTGCCCTCACACTCCCCTTTTCTCCACCCAGTCAAAACCCTAAAAGAAGAATGCCATAGCCATTACCCAGGACCGCCATGGATCTTGGCTTCAGGAGACAGGGTGAGAGAACACTCCTAAGTGTGGGACCACCAGTGCTTAGTGCTGGAAGGGCAGTAAGACAAGGAGGCCTAGGAGGAATCTGGTCTGTTTGGCTTCAGTGAGAGAGCCAAGTTCAACTTTTCTCTGTGTTTGTGTGCATGCACACGTGCACGCATGCCCATACATGTGTGTTTGTGACATCTACATGGATGGATGCCAGAGGGCAAGGAGGTACTCTGGCCACAGAAACCAGGAATGAGGAAGCATTTTAGGTTTAATCTTGGCTTTCCTTCCCAGCCCAGATGAATTTAGGAATTTGCTCTCTCAGAAACAATATGAAGCATGCACTGCATTTGGGGGCCTCCAGTGCATTTTCAGGGCTAAAGAAATGAAACGAGAAGATTGAAGAGGGAAACTTTATTTTCTAATGTCATCCCTTGGCATTTGATTTGGGATTCTGTTAATTGCTGAACAAGGAGAAACATGAAAAAAGTAGACAACAGACCCCGGAGTGCTATTAGTGATGGGAGTGTGACCTGGGAGAACTGGCTGTCCTATTCCAGGCTGACAAGGAAGATGTATCATATCTGGCTTGTTGTGGAGGAAAAACTAGCCTTTCCTAGCTTTTACCAACACAATTTCCCGTACCTGAGAAGGAGCAGAGCATGCAGATCCAAGTTTGAATACTGGCTTTGCTCCTTACCTGCTATGTGGTCTTGGGCAAGTTATTTAACTGATGTGAGCCTCAGTTTCCTTGTTGATAAAATGAGGATAGGACTATTCAAAGGCTTTGTGGTAGTATGCTAGCACTGCCATCACAAAGTGCCGCAAACTGGATGGCTTAAATAACAGAAATTTATTGTCTCACACTTCTGGTGTCCAGAAGTCAGAGATCAAGGTATTGATAGAGTTCATTCCTTCTGAGACTGTGAGGAAGATTCTGTTCCATGTCTCTCCTCTTGCTTCTGGTGGTTTGCTGGCAATCTTTGACTTTCGTTGGCATGTCAAGGCATCACTCAGATCTCTGCCTTCATCCTCACACAGTATTCTCCCTTTGTGTATGTCTCTATATCCAAATTTCCTCTTTTTATTAAGACACAGGTTATGTTGGATTAGGAGCCCACCCTACTCCATTATAACCTTATCTTAACTCATTACATCTGGGATAAACTTATTTCCAAATAAGATTATACTCTAATATATTAAGAGTTAGGACTTCAACATATGAATTTTGGGAAGATACAATCAATTCATAAAAGGCTTGTCAGAAAAAAAAGTGAGATGTATATAAAGCTTAATTACAAATTAAGTGTTCCATAAAGGAAGCTACTATCACTATTGTTATTGTTTGCTAAGCCTTCATTTGCTAAAGATTTATCTTTAACTAAGTCAGGTAGCTAGAAAAAAATTCCCTCCTGTATACATCAACCATATTGTCTAGGTTGCCCAGGATGTGTCTGTGCATGGGGATTGGCAGGTGCTAGGTTGTTGAAGCTTTTAGACTGTGTCTACACAATGTCAATATGTGGGCCAGCTGTGCACATATGTATGGTTTTATATGTGCATGTTTTGAAAACTATTTGGGAAAGTCTCCTTGCTCCAAAGTCTAAACCCACTGAAATTTAACCATGAGATTTATCCTTGTTTCAAATTAACAGTTTCCCCAGTATATTAGTTGGCAGTGTAGGTTCACTGAAGGGGAAGGGGAAGGTGAAGGTTTACATTCTGAAGATTCACTGAAAATCACTGACAAGAGGCAAACTAATAGGAGAAGAGGCATATAAATGTGTGTGATCATAGTTTTCCATGACTTGTGAGCTTTCAAAATGAAGACCCAAAGATGCAGGGAAAACTGTCTATTTTTATGCTTAGGTTCAGCAAAGTAAGGATAACTATGTAGAAATACAACTGGACAAAAAAAGGCATCATCTGATGCTAATGGACTGATTGGGGATGCCCAGTAAGGCCTGTCTGTCTAGATTCTTCTTGGCCTCTTTGAACACACAATCTTTCCGTGGATGTGTGGCAGAACTGTCTCTGGAATGGGGGTCTTATGACCTACAGTCAAAGAAGATAGGTCAGATAATTTCTTGATGGCCATCTTGATTTACACAGAAAGGCAGTGGGGGTGGGGGAAGAGTTAGAGTAATCTTTGTAGGTTTTATGGCTGGATTGGGGGAAATGGAGTTCTAGTTTCTGTGATCTTCTGTAGGGCAGAGGGGTTCTAGTTTCTATGGCTAGCCTTGGGAAGAATGAGAGGCAGAGAGAGGAGGGCAGGTCAGAGAAAGACTTTTGCTTCTGAGGGATTTGTTTTGGGGTATGTTTTTCTGAGACCCTACATCAGTCACTCAGATCTCATTTTGAATAAGGGTGTAAGGCATTCCCTCTCTTCATTTGAAATAATAATAGTCAGCTGGGTGCAGAGGCTCTTTGAAAGGGAAGGAGAAAGAAGCCTATCCAGAGTAGTCTTTTCCATAATCCAGGCCTTAGGGAGAGAAAACAGGTGCAATTAGCAGTACAAAATTCCTGGAAACACACATGGAGAGTGGGTCCCTGGAAAAAGTAAAGAGGACAAGGGAGAAGAAATGGAAGCACAGTAGAGTAACCATTACCAATGCTGCAAATTTGTTTCTATCATAAAGAAAGTTTGGATCCTCTGTGGAACCATCAGCAATGTATCTGAAGGCAGACTTTTGTGCGTGTACTGAAGAACCAACTGGAAGCCCTGTTCTAAGGTTTTCTGAGGTGTTAACAGCAATCCTAGAGATAAGACAAGTTGAGAGCTCTGGCTAGGGAGTCTGGAAGCTGAAGCTCTGCTCCTGCTTTGTGGCAATCTTGTAGGTTTTCTTATCTGTAAAGTGAGTGGATGCACTACCTTCTCCCTGTGGACCCTGCCAGTTCTGACATACTTTGATATTCTGATCCTGGCTCAGACCCCACTCCAGCCCCAAAGTCAGTAAGAAAGAAATTCTGCTGAATTCTGTCATGAAGGATAATGCTATCCCCAGCATAGGTTTCTTCCTGGCTGGATCTGAAATAGGTTTTCAGAAGGGGGAAAATAAAGAAGAAAAGATGATCTGTCCATATTTAAAAAGGAGTGAGTTGCCGTTGGATGGAAACCTGAACTGGGCTTGTGCATGCCTGTCTTTGAAGTGTGGAAAGGCACTATCATGTGAGTGAATATGATGAATTAGGCTATTTGATTAAGCAGGATGAAACTGGTGAGCCAGCTTTCTCTATTTCATTTTATCTAATGGCTGTAATCAGAAATCATGCCATCATCTCTTTAAAAGTGGGAGCCAGTGGCGAGCCGCACAGGTAGGTGTGCATCGACAGCTCTTTTTAAAGCTACTTCTCTCAGGGAGCCTATGAGAGGTGGAGAAAGTGGAGAGGTCTCTACCAACATCAAAGTCATTAGATCACGTTGTCAATTCAGCTAATAGCCCATTGGTTCAATTTCCTTTTGTAAACTTGGATTTGATAGCCAGTATCTAATACAATGACTGGTACCAAGTAATGTGCTTCGAAAATATTTGTTAAATGAATTAATGAGTGAATGGAACTATGAAGGAATGCAAAACAAATGGATGATGGGAATCTTGTAGGTAAGGGAGTAAATGTGCAGATGTTTAACTCTTTGTGGCAAATTGACATGCTTTTTTTTTTTTTTTTTTTTTTTAAGACGGAGTCTTGCTCTGTTCCCCAGGCTGAAGTGCAGTGGCACAACGTTGGCTCACCGAAACCTCCGCCTCCCAGGTTCAAGCAATTCTCTTGCCTCAGCCTCCCAAGTAGCTGGGACTACAGGCATGCACCACCATGCCTGGCTAATTTTTATATTTTTAGTAGATATGTGGTTTCACTATGTTGGCCAGGCAGATCTCGAACTCCTGACCTCATGATCTGCCCGCCTCAGCCTTCCAAAGTGCTGGGATTACAGGCGTGAGCCACCAAGCCTGGCCTGACACCATTTTTGATAGGACGTAAGAGACATTTGTGATGGAGGATCCAACTGTTTATTCTTTAGTGATAAAAACAAAGATGCCTACATTTGAGTCTGTGGTGGTCTTTTCTTCACTTGCTGTGTAAACTTGGGGAGATTGCCCAATCTCTCTCTGCTTGTTTTCTCATCTTTAAAACAAGAATAATAAGAATACCAACCTAGCTCATAGGAATGATTGAAAGATTGAATGAGTAATATGTGCAAACATTAATTGAAGTTAGTGGCCCAACAAGCTACAGATTAGGTTAGATGAGAATAGAGTTGGCCCTATGCAGATATCACAGATGGAGTAGGCAGTTGCCTTTATGGCATGATATCAAGAGGCAGATGAGGCCCTTCCCTCCCAAATATTATCCCACTAACCTGTAGTGTGCCTAAAATTCCTACTCTTAGAATTCTCTTTGAGCTAAAGAAAATGCCTAGAGAAGCCACATTAGTAACACGTGGAAAGGAACACTTTCAGGAAAGTGGTTCTTTTGGGAAATAACCACTGATTATTCTACCTTCAGAAGGCAGAGCAGTAAGCAAAGACATTAAAGCCTTGGCTTTGGAGTCACTGGGTTCTAACTTAGGCTATATAATTTTCTCCAAAATCTTAGTGTTCTCCATTATAAAGGATTAATGATATTTACCTCTTGCTGTCACCATGGGGATAATATGAGATAATGTAAGTGAAACCCCTGGCACACAGGGTTCACGCTCAGTTAAAGAGTGTGATTATTGTTAATATAATTGTTCTCTCATTGAATATGTTCAGAAGATCATTGTTATGGATAGAATGTTTGTGCCCTCCTCATTCATATGTTGAAGCCCTAACCCCATATATGATGGGTTTTGGATTTGGAGCTCTTGTGAGGTGATTAGGTTAAGATGTGGTCATTAGGGTGGAGCCCCTATGATGGGATTAGTGTCCTTATAAGAAGAGAAAAAGACCAGAGCTCTCTCTTTCCACCACATAAGAACACAGTGAGAAAGTAGCTGTCTGCAAGCCAGGAAGAAAGCCCTCACCAAAGACCCAACAATGCTGGCACCCTTGTCTTAGACTTCCAGCCACCAGAACTGTGAGAGAAACTGTCTTTTGTTTAAGTCATCCAATTGATGATATTTGTTATAGCTGCCCAAGCTGACCAATACAAACATGAAAAGCAGATCTATCTATCAATACTATTTGGAGTAGTATCAGCATTATTGAAATAGCTTCAGCTCCCAAAATGTCCACTTTAAAGGACACAACTCATCTTCTTGCAGCCCTTTCCCCACCTCGCACAGGTCTGTGCAGTATTGACTGGTCCACACTATAGGTGACTACTGAAATGAATAGGGGGTTAGGGAAGACCACTGGAAAGAAGTAGTCCCAAAATGGGGCTCAGCAAGATGAATAGGACAGAATAGGAAATGGGAAGAGAGGTCATTCCTGCTTCCTTGTGACTGTCAGCATTTTCATGAGCCCTCGGCTTCCTATCTCCTTCCCTCTCCCCCTCCCCACCCTGCTTCTCATCCCCACCTCCACTTTGTCCTAAAAGAAGCAGAGGAAGAGAGACTCATTCTCCTCTGGAAACCTGTTTTTGATTCATTGATTTGGTCTCAGCACTTTCTAGTTTGGGATGTTGGGAGGCTGCTTCATGTGCTTGTTCTTTGGCCATAGCTCCTGGTGGGAGGGATGGGGGGTGGGGGTAGTCAGTCACCTCCCCTGGGAGCTGCCCAGACTCAAGGAGGGAGTATCAAGCTAGAAAATGCAAGGGCACACAAATTCTAGCCTTTTGCTGGTTTTAGAAATCATCTTTCTCTTTTGATGACAACCTTACCTGGCTTCTTTGCCCCAAGCTAGCATCAAGGACACCACTCTGTGTGGAGACAGTGACCTCCGGATAACCAGGTATTCCGCTTTCACTTTTCCAAAGTGAAGATGTGAAGCCAGAGAGGAGAGGAGAAACAGACACATACAAAACAATTCAGTGCACTACCATGTTTGGGTTGCTGCAGAGAAAGGGGTTAAATGGGTATTTTCTTCTCATATCTTACTGAGATCACTTTATGACTCCAATCTCAAGGGAAATGAGCAGTTTGCACATTTACTGTTTCCTATCAGTCGACCATCTGTAGGCACCACCTTTCACAAAGAGCTTATACATTAACTGGTCACTTTATCATTGTAATATATTTGAAAAATCAAAAACCAGCTGCTATAAAGCTATAAACTGAGGATTTTATTACATATTGTTTATCATTGCTTTAGTATTTGGAGATTCATAATGCATGGACTTTGAGATCTATCTGTATTGCCAAGGAGGCCGAAGTTTATTTCCCTAATAATATGCAAATGGAGCCTTTATACCAGATAATGAATAATCACTAGATTAAAGCCTGAATTTTCTTTTAGTGGTACTGGCAGTGCAGCCTTTTGCATGCAGTTAATAATTAATTTAAAGAATTACCACTTCAGTGAGCCCTGCTTACATTATTTATTAAGTGTAATTAAAGTATTTATTAGTCAAGTAATAAATGAGGGACAACCCTCTGCACCTTAACAGTGTTGTAAAATAATCACAGACTATGTTTATCTGCAAAACAAGACTGAGTATGGCTCAAGTGTGTTAATAGATTATCCATGATCATTGCTGTGTTATCAGCATACCTCAGCAATGAGTGTATGACTGGCACACCCACCTGCTTCTATTCTAGGCAAAAAGGGTGCCTTGGCTTTTTATTTTTGTTGATTTGTATATGTTGATTTAGAAGCAAAATAAAGGGGATTTCTTGGTTCAAGCTTACATCCCTTCCCAAAATCTACCATGTTGCTTGCAGCTTAAACAGCTAATCCAACATTGTGACCTTAGAATTTCTGAAAGGCTGCTGAAAGCATTGTCAAGAATTAAGATGCCTATATAATTCATTTCTCAAACCATGACAGTTTGTACAATGAAAGAAGGTTAATTAATAATATGTAAACTGGGAGAGCTCTAGGTAAACCAGAAATTAGCATGGACTTTTTCCAGAAGTTATCATGGCCTTTAGATGGGTTGTTTTCAGTAATGAAAACACATGAAATGATTTGAGAAAGAAATGACATGAGAATCAGCTTCTACTAACTGCCACTCCACATGCAGAATTTTAGATAAAACCTAGAGCTCTGCCTTCCCTCAATTTCAAGTCCTGTTGCTCTGCGCAGACTCTTCCCCAAAAAACCTGCCCTTGTCCCTCCATCCAGAAGTGACAGCTCCTCCCTCTAACTCCCACCTCATTGCTTACTCTTCTCTGGGTGCATATCTCACTGGCTTGCAGCATCTTCATTCATGTATTTATTTTTAACTCCACTCCATGAAGAGACTGCAAATTCTTTGAGGAAAGAGACAGACTGTATTTGCAGATTTTTAGATCTTCAAACATTTTTACCCTGGTGCCTTGCTAAAAGTAGGTACCCAGTAAATATTTACTAAATAGATTTATAGTTGGAAAGCACAATCACTTTCCTTTCTGATCAGGAGAGAGAGTAAAATTTCAGTCCAGGATCACTGACCGGAATCTGTAACAGAGCAGATGGGCATGTGGAGCGGACATAAGCAGAGGAAGGTGCAGCCAGCAGGTGGCCATCCCAAAGGGCATTCAGGTCAGCTGTGAGAATCACTCAAGAGTGGGATTTAACTGGCAAATCAATGAGCAAAGCCTCAAAGCCCATTCCAGGCAGGCCAGTGCTTCATCTGCCCTGCAGTATATTGCCTGAGCATCTTTTTTCTTTGAGTCCTTTGTCTGGACAGTTCACCATCCTGTGCTCTTCAGACAAACAAGGATAAAGACTATGAAAGAGCATATAGATTGAGACTTTCCAAAGGTTAGTGGAGGGTGAGGGGCAATTCTGCAAATCCCACTTCTTCACCTATGAGAATCTCACCTATCCCACATTCCACCTCCTCTCTGAAGCCTTCTCCTGACCCCAACTCTGACCATTTCCAAAACACATTGTTCATACCTCTCATTTGGATCCTTGGCATCCTTGGGTTACTCTGCCTCATACACATAAACTTCCTGCGCCCGGGGAAAGACGATGGAGTCTCCTTTTCCTACATCTTCCCCCAGTGCTGGACACCCAGTCAGGCCTCAGCAAGTGCAGAAAGGGAAAATCAGACCTCACCCAGTTTTCCCTGACCCCTTCTTTCTCCTAACTGCCTGCTTGCTTCACTCACTTCCCAGAATCCCATCTGAAGGGTGTTTCCACTTACCAAATGATACCATCATATTAAGAAGAGAAGGAGTTGATGGGGCGTAAAAGTTAAAGGGGCTGAGTGGCATTCAGGAAAACAAACCCCAAGAATCAAACTTAGTTTTAATAGCAGCCAGCACTACTAGGCCCAAAACGTGTGGGCTTATAAACTGAATTGTCTTTGGGCCTTTTTAGAGAGCTGTTTCTAGGCGACCAACAGATTGGTCATAGATCATGTGTGCTCCAGCCTCATGCTGCAGAAGCCTCCTTCTGACCTCTTAATCAAGCTGAGAGCTGGGACACAGAGAAGAGATACACGATCACTTACAGAAACACCCAGCTGGCATCGGTCCCATGAACCATCTGCCTGTCTCACTATGGTCAGACTGTCTGCTAATGCCCGCTTCTTCTATGAACCATTTATATATTTCCCCAGCCTTTTTTAAAAAGTGGAAAACAAATAGCATTATTGGATGTGCTCTGCCTGGCTGCAGCTGTGAATCACAAAACTGGAAATCAGTCCAAGACAGAGTCAGACAGCACATTCTCTGCTTGGTTGCGGAGAGGTCCAAACTGCTGATCTAGCCTCATTTGATCTTTGATATTTTATTTATCTATAAATTTGACATGGCCCTGTTAGGAAACATCTTGCTGGTGTGCATTTTCCCATCCTTTTAGGCTTCTAAAGGGAAGGGGCCTTTGGTTTAGTCTTAACCCAGGGTCAACATTTCTTCTTGGCCTTGTCAGGAGGTAATCACTCTGAAGACAATACAACTTGAGAATTATATACAGCTGGTAGCAGCAGGGATGGGAGAGGGGTTATAGGGGTTTGACATAATTCCCCTTGGCTCTCCACTGCTTACCAGAGTCAGTAATAGATCACAAATACAGATTAGTGAACAGAACCAGATGAACTTAGGGTGGGACCCTTGACCATCATTGTTGTTCCATTCAACTAGAATTAAATGAGTACCACTGCAGGGGATAACATCACGCCCTCTGAATACAGAATGCACAATCCCCATATCTGCAAGGTTACACTCTGACAGTCTATTAATTATCTGATCAACAAGTAAATATTAACTGTAGCCTCTGTGCTTGTCTTAGTTTGAGTTACCCCAGAAGCTGACCCTGAAGATAAAGGATTTGAGTGCAAACCATTCAGTCAAGAATTGCAGGTAACACCAGGAGACAAATGGGGAAGGTAGTATGAGGAGAAAAGGCAGAGAATAAAGGGTCCATCATTTAGCCAGCTGCTACTGTGGGCCATTGGAGCCTTAACTCTTGGGGAAGCTCTGGGAAATGGTGCAAAACACATGGCTCAACCACTTCAAAGGACAAGGGAGCCACGGTGTTTATACACCAGCTCCCAAGAGCCATTGGTTTGAGGACTGCTCCTGAGGAGTAATAATTCCTTGAAGTTTTGGCCTGCCATATATAAAAACAGTAAGCTTTCCACAATTGATGCTGAAGAAAAAGAGCCTTCAAGCACAGAGAGGTCAATATTGGCAGCTGTAAGTTAGTTGAATGGTCCAGTCAACTAACCCTGACCCCTTCAGGGATTTTCAACTGAATGCCCAGTTGAAAATAGGCAGGGCCCTGAAAGAACTTGCTGAAAGCCTGTCCCTAAGAGAGGGGGTTCTCGGGGAGCAAGAAGTTGAAGATACACTTCCTGCATTCTTAATGCGTTCAATTTGGAAGAATAAAAGTATCAGAAAGCAATTCAACAATTAAATGCTAAGTGCCATAGTGAAGACTAAGAAAAATACAAATTCAAAGGAAGGAAAAATAACTATCTGATCCTTGGGAGAGTTCCATGAAAAAGCTTAGAATTAAATTAGAATTTGAAGAATGGGTAGGATTTTGTTTATTTAAAAGAGGGGAAGAAATTTCATTGTATGAAATTTTCTTATTCCCAAAATTGAATATAAAAGCCCAACTTAAAATAAATAAAAAATAATTAAATTGAGGCTAATAAGCTCCCTTTTCTCTTATTCACGTTCACATTACATCTTAGAGACAGTTTATCTATGCCTGCAATTGCACTCCAATAAACCATTTTTCTTTAAATTTCTTGGCATCTCAACTCAATAGTCAAAGATATTTACACCAGATGACTCCTAAATTCCTTTCCTATCTGAGAATTTTAAGAATTATGGTTCAGCAACAAACTATTCAAAAGACCAAGTACATTCTGTTTTGAAAGATCATATTATGGGTTCGGTTAATGATTGCTTCCCAATTTATCTGTTTGCCCTTTCTGCAAGTCAAACCTCAGTTAACCAGAACATGGTTAATCAGAACCTTAGTTAATCACAAAATTGACTGAGATGACAAAAAGCTCAGTAATCAAGACAAATCATCTTTCAATGCAATATTTTTCAAATCAAAAATATGGGGGGTACTCAAGAGTGGGGACAGCTGGGGGGATATCTGGTCACATGTCCCTTTGACAGAGGACACGATGTGTGTGTAAGAGACACTCTCAAGTTCTGATTTGATCCTGGATGAGAGGCAAGACACTGTAGAAGTTTAGCCAAAAGCTTGGACTCAGAGATGCCTGCATTTGAATCCCAGGTCTGCCATTTACTAAACAGGACAGTGCCTATAAAATATGAAACCCAGCACTTGGGGTACTAACAACCCAAAATACAAGGATAATGAAACACCAGTGAATTTTTTTAAAGTGCATTATTGCCAATCATCCAAGAGTGCACATCCCTTTGGTTTCAGTACTTATTACCACTTGACTTTACATACTATGTCCTTCATCCATTGTTTGTGTGTGAGTGAGATGGAATTTAGTATTTCTTACTGGGTACGTGACATTTTAGCCAATATCTACATTTTAGGTTCAGGGGAAACAATGCAACAAAGAAGGACTCTAACATTAGGTGAATGCCATAGAAATTAGGCCTTTAAAAAGTCTGACATTAATTTTATGTGTTTATTATTTTTCTTGTCATTTACATTTCTCTCTCCAACACCATGGACTAGAAAAACGCCATGCACTCACAAAAATGCTTCTTTGTGAGTGTGGCTCCTGGGACAGCCACTCTGTGGAGCTGGCAGTAGGTCACAAGTCAAAGCCATGAGGGGCTAAGACTCTAGCAAGACAAGGGTAAGGTCACACACATAAAAAATAGCTACACGGCAAAGGCTAAGAGCTATGAAGCTTAGCTGAGGTTGAAAGTGGTGTTTGAGGCATTCTTCAGCAGCACCAGAGATCCACAGAGATTAGAACTCAAGTGAAGGGCAATATCTTTCTCCTTTGTAGTGCTCAGGAGTGGCCCACTGAAGCAATTGCTTAGACAGCAGCCTGGCCCAGGGTGACCATATACTTAGTGTTCAACCCCGGACATCTTAGAGAGCAAGATGAGGCACTGTTAATAACTGCCTTGAGACAACTGGTGCAACCAGGAATGTCCCAGTCAAACCAGGACCTAGATCTCCTCTAGCCTTGAGGATATCTTCTGCTTTTTCACTTGGAAATTCAGACCCACCTACTCAGCTTCATTCTGCCTGGGAAGCCCAGCCCTCAAATTCCAAGGTCCCACTAGCTGTCCCCAAAACTCTCACCATTTTTCTTCCCTAGGGATGAATGGCAGGAGGCTCCCCTCTGCCTTTAGCTGTGCCCATTGCTCTCCGGCATCCCCTGGCTGAGAGCAGGAACTAGGGCAAACCAAGTGAGGCAACTCACTCTGGGCACAAAATTGACAGAGGTGACAAAAATCTCAGTAATCAGGACAAATCAGCTTCCAGGGCATTTTTAAAATCAAAAATTAATGTCAAAAATTTATGATAAGCAAAGTATCAAAATGTTTAAATAAAGACAGGATCAGTAGCAGTGCTGTGTTGAGCCAGATTGGAGCCCATAGCAAAAGGAAAAACCAGTAATACAATCCTGTCTTTAACATTTTGGTGTTTCATTTATTATAGATTTTTGCATTAACTTTCATTTTTAAATATTGTATTAAAATATTATTTGTAATTCTTGAGTATTTTTGTGATCCTGTGAACTTTGTGCCTAAGGCTAGTGTCATTCTGCGTAGATAACAATAGCTGCCACTCACTGCATCCACATGAGGTAGGGACTCAAACATGCACATCTTGCATTCACAGTGCCTCCCTTACTGAAACCTGCCCTCTCCCTCAACCAAAATTCCCATAGCAAGTTCCGCTTTCTTTTTTCTTTTCTGTTTTTTTTTTTTTTTTTTTTTTTTTTTTTTGAGACAGAGTCTCACTCTGTCACCCAGGCTGCAGTGCAGTGGCATGATCTCGGCTCACTGCAACCTCTGCCTCCCGGGTTCAAGCGATTCTTCTGCCTCAGCCTCCCGAGTAGCTGGGATTACAGGCGCATGCCACCAGGCCCAGCTAATTTTTGTATTTTTAGTAGAGACAGGGTTTCACCATGTTGGCCAGGCTGGTCTCCAACTCCAGACTTCATGATCCACCCACCTCGGCCTCCCATAGTGCTGGGATTACAGGTGTGAGCCACTGTACCCAGCCCAAGTTCTGCTTTCTTGTAGAATCAAAGAAGCTTAGAGCTGGGGAAGGGTGGGGAATCCACAATGAAACATTCTAATCCTCAACTTCCTTTTTTTTAACATGAGGATCTGAATGCATGTTAGACTAGTTAAGTGACCGATCCAGGTTCACAGAGCTGTCTGGGGCTAGCATCCATTCATTGACTAACTTAAGAAATGTCTTTTTCTTGTAAATTTGTTTAAGTTCTTTGTAGATTCTGGATATTAGCCCTTTGTCAGATGGATAGATTGCAAAAATTTTCCTCCCATTCTGTAGGTTGCCTGTTCACTCTGCTGATAGTTTCTTTTGCTATGCAAAAGCTCTTTAGTTTAATTAGATCCCATTTGTCAATTTGGCTTCTGTTCCCATTGCTTTTGGTATTTTAGACATGAAGTCTTTTCCCATGCCTATGTCCTGAATGGTATTGCCTAGGTTTTCTTAGAGGATTTTTATGGTTTTAGGTCTTACATTTAAGTCTTTAATCCACCTTGAGTTAATTTTTGTATAAGGTGTACGGAAGGGGTCCAGTTTCAGTTTTCTGCATATGGCTAGCCAGTTTTCCCAATGCCATTTATTAAATAGGGAATCCTTTCCCCATTTCTTGTTTTTGTCAAGTTTGTCAAAGAGCAGGTGGTTATAGATGTGTGGCGTTATTTCTGAGGCCTCTGTTGTGTTCCATTGGTCTATATATCTGTTTTGGTACCAGTACCATGCTGTTTTGGTTACTGTAGCCTTGTAGTATAGTTTGAAGTCAGGTAGCGTGATGCCTCCAGCTTTGATCCTTTTGCTTAGGATTGTCTTGGCAGTGCAGGCTCTTTTTTGGTTCCATATGAAGTTTAAAGTAGTTTTTTCCAATTCTGTGAAAAAGGTCAATGGTAGCTTAATGGGGATAGAATTGAATCTGTAAATTACTATGGGCAGTATGGCCATTTTCACAATATTGATTTGACCCAGCAATCCCATAACTGGGTATATACCCAAAGGATTATAAATCATTCTACTATAAAGACACATGTACACACATGTTTATTGCAGCACTATTCACAATAGCAAAGACTTGGAACCAGCCCAAATGTCCATCCACAATAGACTGGAGAAAGAAAATGTGGCACATATACACCATGGAATACTATGCAGCCATAAAGTAGGATGAGTTCATGTCCTTCACAGGGACATGGAGGAAGCTGGAAACCATCATTCTCAGCAAACAACACAGGAACAGAAAACCAAACACCACATGTTCTCACTCACAAGTGGGAGTTGAACAATGAGAACACATGGACACAGGGAGGGGAACATCACACACCAGGACCTGTCAGAGGGTGGGGGGCTAGGGGAAGGACAGCATTAGGAGAAATAACTAATGTAGGTGATGGGTTGATGGGTGCAGCAAACCACCATGGCACGTGTATACCTACGTAACAAAACTGCACATTCTGCCATGTACCCCAGAACTTAAAGCATAATAATAATAATAATAATAAAGTAAAAAAAAAATCTATTGAGCATTTGCTGCATCTTCTGTTTTAGACATTGGGACTAGAGTAATGAACAAAAGTGACAGTGTCTGTGGTCTCATGGAACTTACATTCTAGTGTAAGAGGGCAGCAATCCTATAAACAGTTGAACACAGATACATTTACGTATATTAGACAAAAGCTATGAAAAACTTGAAGCAAGATATAGGAGAAAGAGTGATGGAGTGAGAAATGGGTATTTTCTTATTGTAAGATGGTTGTGAAGGGATTTCTGGTAAGGGGGCTTTGAGCACACACCTAAAGTAAAGGAAAGAGGAAGTCTTGTGAATGAGGGTGCTGGGAGTTAGTTCTAGACCAGTTAATAGTGTTCACTTGGGCACTATTAACATTTTGGTTTGGGTAACTCTTTACTCTGGGGGCTCACCTGTGCATTGTAGAATGTTTAGAAGCTCCCTGGCCTCTACCTAAGGGGTGCTGGTAGTACCTCCCTCCCAGCTGTGACGATCAAAAGTGTCCCCAGACATAGCCAAATGCCCCCTGGGGGCTAAAATCATCCCCTGTTCAGAACCACAGGGCTAGGCAGAGGAAGAGGAAGAGGAAGTGCTAAGTCTCCAGTCAGGCTTCTCATAACTCAGAGCAGCACCATCTGCGACCATTCATCCCAGCTCATTCTAAGCACCCAGAGCTCTGCAGAGTCAGTGCCCCCAGGGGATGCTGTTTGTCCTCTTATCCATTTTATGCTGGCTGTTAGTCTCCTTGCATCCACAACAGCAAAAGCTCCCTGAAGGCAGGAGTCCAGCCTTACACCTCTGTTCCTGTAGAGGCCTGGGCTCCTCAGTAAGGTGGCTGCATGTCTGCACCTCCCATCTGCTCCTCCATGGTGAAGACACTCTCTCCAAGTGCTCAGGGATTGGGGCCAGCTCTAAGAGAGCAATGTGTTCTCACACTGCAGCCCAGTCCATGTCTCCAGTGAATTACCCTCTCCACGTACTGGAGGACGTGTAGCTTTCTCAAAGGGATGGCTTGTGATGAAAGTTCACCTTCCACTCAATTAACCTTGAGAGAGTGGTGTTTTTTTCCTTTTCTTCCCCAGGAGACTTTTTTTTTTTTTTTTGGATGACCTTTTTGAAGCATCTTATTTTCTGGGCAAAAAGCCAAATGATATACTCTCTTCCCAGCTGCAGGGCTGTTGCAGATTTTCAAAGCTGAGGTAAAGACAGCCTTTGGAATAAATGCAAGTTGGGCAGTAGGGTTGGGAAGCATGAGGAAATGCTCTATTATTCCACCCAAGATGTGCCTGGAGGGACGGAGCCTTTGTAGAGGACATCCCTGCAGGACCCACAAGATACAGGGACCTGGAGACCTCAGGGCTGCCAGGATCTCCTCCTAGTTAGGGAGCACACAGCAATACAAATTAAAAAAAAATCAATTCCACTTTGGGTGAAAGTTGAATATTAGTAAGTTATAACAAAGCACATTTTGCCTAGTACTTTGTAGTATACGAAGGTTTTTTTAATATTTAATCTCATTGAGTCTCAGATTCAGCTACCAAATAAGACTAAATCTTATTTAAGACTGGATCAATAGAGTACAGTAAACAACTATAGCCCTTTTTCAGCCAGTTTGCTGGACAATGGTTCCTGAAAGCCCCCCTACCATCCCAGACGTACAGCATCTCTGGTTTGAGGCATGTCCCTGGTGGTGGATTTAGAGAGAAGCAACATGCAGGGGGTCTCCAAAGTCAACTGCATATATGTGCAGAGGGGAACAAATAAAAGAACCCAAACCAGCTCCATTTCCCCATGGAGCCTCAGTGTTGGTAGCTCATAGCTCGGGTAGCAAAGGGAGTTTCATAAAAGTGGCGAGGCTTGCTTTGAATTGCAGTTGGGCCACATTTCTCAAGCCCAGAGGCATTTGAGAGTTCTAAAATCCTAGGAGCAGTGTTTGAAAGCAACAAGTTAGAGAGGGTCACTGGTAGTGACCTGTTTGGGGACCAGGACATTGTGACTGGCAATCAGAAAGGTTATGGAGGTTAAAAAAAAAAAAAAAAGGAAATCTGCATGGCCAAGAACACAGGCTCAGGAGCTGGACTGCCTGGCTTTCCTGTTCTGACTTTACCACTTACTACCTGTGTGTCCTTGGGCAGGTCACTACCTAATTGTGCGTCTGTCTAAACCATCTGTAAAATGGAGATCATGAGAGCAGCTACCCCCGGGGCTGGGGCGGTGGGAGGAGAAGAAGCATCCTGGAGTCAGATGCTGTCCTATGGGGAGACGAGTGTCAAGAATCAGGGAGGAAAGTTGCCGGGAGAGGTGACAGGGAAGCTGCAGACACACACATGTGAGCCTTCGTAGGAGAATGGTGTTGGAAAAAAAATGCTGATGTGACATTGGGATTTTGTTCTGAATGTGAGGTAATAGCAAAGAGCCTGGGCTGGGGATTTCAGGCCTCATCCCTGAAGGGAGATAGACAGAGAAGAAATGCCTGCCCAAGGGAAGCACTGCTGCCTAGCACCTGCCATCTGCAGCCCCTAGAGTGGAGCCAACAAAAGCTGGGCAGCACAAAGGAGCTTTCTGGAAAGGGTTTGCAGCAACAGGCATTAATATAAAAGCATCTCGTAAGTCCTGGCTCCTCTCATTAGTCTCCATTTGCTGTCACAGGGGTCAAGGACCAGTGATTTGTCTTCCATGAAAATGTTCTTCTTGGAACATTAGGAAAGGGAAACTGGCATCACAGGAAAACCCAGAGTGGCCTACAGCTATTTGGCAGGGTACCCCACACTCGGGGTAACACTCAGGGAAAGAAGTCTTTCCTTCCGGCTGTGTGGGCTCCACACTCCCAAATCTCTCTACTCCCACACTTAAAAGTCTCCGTTTTCTCTCTGTGACATCATGCTTGAAATGATTAGCTATTGATGCATTTGATTTTATAAATGCCTCTCCTGGCCCATCAGCCATTTCTACTTCAGTGGATTAAGTTATAACTGGAAGAAAGCTTAGAACCTATCTAGTCCAGCCTCCTCTTTTCACAGAAGGGGAAACTAAGATGCAGAGAGAATTTTAAAATTGCCCAAGGGCAATTTTACTAGCCACATGACAGCCTCTGAGTCCCAGTGTCCTCAAACATTTGTGGATCTGTGACAGAGAGAGTGAGGGTAGAGTCACATGTCAACAGACACCCGGATGAAACTTCCTCAAGACTTTTCACAATTCCACTAAAGTTGGAGAATTTACAAGTGGTTTGGTGCAATGAATATACTGATGTACCGAAAGCTATACTTTGGAGGTAAAAATGACAGTAAAATAGGACAACGATAATAAGGTGCTCTCTAGAAAGCCAGGGGAAGTCCTGAGATGGAGGGACAATGTGTGGCAGTCCATTCTGAATAAGGGTTGATTTTCAGAGATCCCTGAGTTTGTCAGTGCAGGACATCTGCTGAGTAGTTCCATAAGAGTAATATTAGAATCCAAACTCTCCCCAGCAATGGAAAGGGCACCAGCCAAGCTTGGAGATAGTCATTTGCCCTTCACCACCGCCTGCCAGGGATCCCCTTTCCAAGCGCTAAGCAAATGAGAGTCTTAGGGTGGAGACAGAGAGGGCCTACTTGTCAGCCCCAAAGCAAGAGTGCCCCGGCAACTGGGACATTTGCTGAGCTCCATCTCTGTAGACTTTGGCTTATTCGACCTTGTCTCCATGTGCTGTAGAGGAGGATAAAACTCTGTGCTGTTGTGCCCTCACCTCCCTATTTCAAAGAGACTTTACCCTTCAGAGAGCTTCCCACTTGGCCACACTGGGGGAGGTTGCTGTGATGTCATACAAACGTCCAGTGTGTCTTCTCTGCCTCAAAGAAGGTGTGTGACTTTCAGCACACCACCTCCTTGTCTGGGCCTTAGTTCTCTCAACCAAGAAGAAAGGAAGGTGAGCAGCTGGACTGAAAGCATATACCACCTGCAGCCTGCTATTCCCGGGGCCTCGCCCAGTTCCTGGTGCACCAGCCTGCTCAGAAAGCACACACAGAATCGGGACATCTCCAGCCCCCTCCTGGCCTGACATTCAGAGACTAGGTTTGGAAACTAAAAGCTCTCATGCTATGGCCTTTCTCATTTAAGTTTGTGGCTTCGATCATGCCTTTGAGGGTAGCATCCCCATTTATAAGAACCTATAAACACGTTGAAAGCGTGGCCTGACTCTGCTGTAAGAAAAACAAATTTGAGAAAACAGCAGAGACCTGGAGATGGTTGCATTCAGCCCAAACATCCTCAACCTCCCCTTTGCCACATCTCCTTCCTCAAAACCTTAGCCCATTTCCCACCAGGTACCTGGGGCTCTCATGTTGCCCCATCCAGGTCCAATCTTTTTGGTCAGCACCCAATATCCCGGACTCTTCCAGCTTCCTTTAGTACTTAAAACTGCTCTCTAAGATAGAGCCATTGGGTTCTGAGAGATTGAGTTTCCACTGGCATGAAGATGTGAGTGATCTATTCCATTCTCAAGCATATTCCCACCTGAAAGGAAATAATGCTGCCTTCACCCAATGATGGCTCTACCATGGCACCATTTCAGGCAGCCACCAAAGCCAGGCAAAGGAGAGGAGGTAGAAGATGAGACTCCTTACTGATGGTCCTCTGTGAATCACACACTGACTCTTCACCCAATCTACCCACCACCACCTCCATGCTGCAGCACCCTCCCAATGAAGTCTTCCTATTCAGGTGCTATCCCCACATGTACACACTAGGGCTGCCCAGTCCACCTTGCAGAAGGGTTAGCCCAGAATTTGAGATTCAAGGGACCTTCCTGACTGTTCCTGAAAGCCCTTCATGATAGAAGAATTTTCCTCTGTGAAACTCCCAACTTATGGGAAAATAGGGTTGGCAGGTCTGAACTGTAAGAGAAGCTAAGAAAGCCTTAATAAAGTTCACTCTACCCAACAACAAATGCTACGTGCTAAATAAAGGAAATATCACTAACATTTCATGTATCTTAAATTAGTAATAATGGGCCCTAATGAGTTCTGTACTATTAATTCCATTTACAATCCCTCTCTCCTTGGCAACTTTTCATGTTCTTCCTCCCCTGCAGTTTTAATGCGATACATGTAAATCCATTTTGCTTTGTGGCAGAAAATATTCACCCTAAGAAGCACTTAAAATGAGTAGGCCTTGACCTTGGGTGTCTTTAAGATTTTATTGGCTTCTGCCTCCTGGGTTTCACAGTGTGACTTAGAAGCTGGAAGGAAAAAAGGCTTTGACTCACCTTTATTTGACTTGTTTGGTGAAGCTGAGTAGGTGTTGTATGAACCCCTTCTCAATACCTGGTGTCCTAAGTCCAGGCACCTGACCCAACCTTTCCTATGAGATCTCAGCTCCCACTCCCTCACAAAGGCCATCTGAGGCCAAGATTATTTTCTACAATTCCTTTTCATTGCCCCCCAAAACTCACTCCTCCCTTCCACCCAATTTGCCCCTATTTTCTATTTTCTACTCCACCTTTCCCATGTCCTTCAGTTTCTTACTTTTCCCAATACTGAAAATTGCAGGTCACAGTGGCTCAAACAGAGGTAAACCTAAGCCTACTAGAATCTTGTATTGCATTGGGAAAACTTGCATTGGGGAAAGCATCATTGTGGTTACCTTTCAGAGATACTCCTTTGCATTAGGGAACACTGGACCATGTGAGGATGAACCTAGGTGGATAGGAGCTGCCTAGGTTGGGTGTAATTGAGCAATTAATTAGTGAGAATTGCATTTCTCTTTCTTCCTCCCCTGCAAAGGACAGCATCCTGACCATCTTTTAGAAGCTCTAGACTACAATCTATTCCTTAGAACCTCATCTATTTTATGGAACAAAGCTCTGGGACCTGTCCCTCCAGTCTGCTAGAAAGGCTCCCATAGATATTTGAGATCAAAGTGCCTAGAATAGTTTCAGCTCTGTAAAGAGGTCGTTCTGAAGCAAAATCCATGTGCACAGTCAGAATCAGCCTCATATTTAGACAGAGCCCATCATTGCCTGTGTGATATGACATGAAGGGCAACAAAAAGGCCTTGAAATTCTGCCCAAACTTACTTCTCTCACAAGTGCCTAAAATTGCATCGTTTGAGCATAATCATATATTTGGGTTAAGGAGAATTACTCATCTTCAGCATTTTTTAAAAAGAGACAACAATTTATAAAAGATTGCAACTCATCAATTCTTCGTAAATACTGTGAATTAATGCTAGATTGTTTTCCTCCCTGGGAGAGTCTGAGGTGATGTGGGGCCTGGGATTATTGCAGGTGGGAATTGAAAAGGGAAGACGTGGTAGGAGGGATGCAGAGGGTGGAGCAGAAAGCGTAAGAAACAAACTGCACAGTTTTCCTAGTTGCCAGTGCTACCTGGAAGAAACCTGGCCCTCTCCAAGCACCAGAAAACATCAAGTTATCATTGAATGAGTGAAAAACCCCAAACAAAACCAATCAATGTTTCTGTTTTCATAATTCCATAGAAAACAACGTTTCTTTTTCCCTCTTCAGCAGTTTCAAACACAGGGCAAATATTTTCATACTACTCTATAAATCTAGATTCTGTTGAACTACAGGGAATTTCCTCTTCAACTGTCCCCCATAACAGCATCAAAAAGGAAAATAAAACCTCAGTACAAAAGGCATAGACTTTTAGAGCCAGCCAACTTGCGGGAACCAAGCCCTGGTTTCCATGGAGAGTCCACGGGCCAGAGACTTGCATTCCGAGCAGGCAAGGGACTTGTACACTGTCTAGCAGGGCCCATAAATTCCCTAGCTTTAGGGTCCCCTCGTGATGCTGCCAGGCAGGAGGCATATATTGTCCACTAGAGTCTGAGGGTTCTGAGATATGTGATTTGAAACGGAGCAGAGAAAGAGTGTAGTCAGGGAGGCTGTTCTGCCTCAGTGACTGTTCCAGGTAATTGAAATGTATCCCTTTAAGTACAGGGATAATTCTGAAATTTTAATTATTTAGTAGGAAAGCTTTCTAATCAGCAGTGTATACTTCCTTGAGAGCCACGTGGTAGATGGAGCAGCTTTGGAAACAGGCGGCTTGACACTTGAATCCCAGTTCTACAGTTACAATCTGAATCAATCTGGTTTTGCATTTTTTTTAATTTTTTTGTTTTGTTTTAACATCTTTGGACTTTAATTTCCTCACCTGCAAAATGGGAGAATGCCTACTTTGCAGATTTTTGTAAAATAGAAGTGAGGCACTTAGCAAACTGCTTGTCACCTGCTAAGCACTCAATATATGGCCTCTATTATCATGACACCATTATGATGATTTCTCTCCTTTTAAAACGAAATATGCTGAATGTATGTTAACTTTTTGTTTCCCTCGGAGTGATCAATGTCCATTCTTATAATGTGCTCTGATACAGAATATCTTTGGAAGCCCAGGAAGTATACAGGCAGGTTCAGCCCACCCCAACCCCTGACGCAATAACCAGTTCCATCTTCTCCTACTCACATGGTGGCTCTGCTGTCCCTTTCTTCCATGAACCAGGGACCATGAGTTCACTGTAGAAAGCCTGTACTCCCTTTGCTACCTTAATCTGGGTTCCCTGTAAATTGGGCAAAGGGGGAGGCAGTTGGGTAGCCTGGTGTGGAGCAGTGATAAGCTTTGTCATTTGAAAGCCTGAACACGACACCCAGCAGCTTGACCCACCAGCTGTGTGACGTTGGTCTCCCAAATGTTCAGTTAGGGACACAGATGACAAAGATGATCCCTACTTAATGGGGTGATGGTGAGGATTAAGGGAGATGATGAGGGGGGAGCCTCTAACATAGCATCTCATGCACTGTAGATGCTCGATAAATGACAGCTGCCATTATTACGTAAAGGCCACATTGCGAAAAGCAAGGCCATTTATCTACATCTTCACATTTGACACATGCAGGGAGCATGGGTGGTTGTAGCCAGGTTTGTAGGACATTCTAGAATCCTTCAGTCATCTTTTTGTGTGTGTGCATGCTTCCGTTTCTGGCTGGGGTTTTCCCAGTGTTGCATGAGGCAGTACCACAGTGCACAGAGGTGAATCCCTAGTGGGCAGGTGGTGAGCTAGTCACTGAACCCTATGGACATGAAGATCTCCTAGTGAGAGTGTGTGGATATGGGCTAACCTGCCATGTAATAAGCCCGTGACACATGGCAGACCCTTGGCAAAAGGCTCGTTGAACATGATTAAGCACTTTATGACAGGGCTTTGCCTCCGTATTGATGAAAGCAGTGTCCCTGCTCAGAGCCAGCTGAAAAGGCTCAAATCAGTCCAGGAGGATTAGCCCTGCCCACCCTATTTCTAATTTTTCTGATTACCAGGATGTTTTGCAAGGTTAGTAGACTGGTTGGAAGAACATACTTTAAAATAAATGAGATACAAGAACGCTAACGCCTAACAACCAAATGGTCTGGGCAGAATCATTTGTCTTCCTGGAAGCTCAGTTTCCTCCCTTGTTAAAGGATAATAATTCCACCATGTCTACCCAACAGAAGTAGTGGGGTGAAGAGTAAAACGAACATTTCCTCAGGAACCTAAATATCTGAGTTCTTGTCTGGTCTTTGCTACCAACTAACTGTCTGATTTAGGGTAACTTAGCTTCTCTGGACCTCAAATTTCCCATCTCTGAGATAAATGGTTTGGATTAAATAACCTCACAAGTCTCTGTCAGCTCTGAAACCCCATGGACCTCTGAGAGAGAGTGTGTCAGGTCATAGCTGTGACTCTGTTTACAGAACTGCACAGCATCCTATAAATGTAAGGTCAGCTCCCACCTGGTACCTAGCGTACTGTCAACGTTCAATGAAGTCTTGTGGATGAATTAGTTATATTGTGTCAAATAAGATAGATTCAAAAGCCACTTTTGAAAAAAAGAAGCAAAGAAATAAAGCCCGGCATGAGTGGCAGATGTTCAGGTGGAGAGGGCCAGTGCTGTGCGTAATTTCGTGTAATTTCTATTTTTTGCTGCTCTTTGCCTGCCTTTGTGGAATGCTAGAAAGTCTAGAGGGACATTTGCAAATCTGCCCACTGTCAGTTCCACTCGTAGAGCAGTCCATCTTCTTGGGAGTGCGTGTGACCTTTGCAGGTTGTCGCATCCTGGGCACGGCACCAAGTGATCCTCCAAGGGGGCTGGTGTGGAGGAGCAGGCCCTGAGCCGTGGGGTGGTACAAGCGGCAGTTTCTGGGCCCAATGCCAACCTCCAGATAATTGCCGGCAGCAGGAGAGAGATGGTGGAGGTTGGTAGAGCCTGTCTCTGACAGATAGATTGTCCCCTTCTCACCGTGACAGCATCATGGCAGTGAGAAGGAAAGCCAAAATGCAGGCAGGCAGGAGAGAAGTAGGGAAGGGCACAAGGAAAGGGGCAGCCTCAGAAGGAGAGAGACAGAAACAGACAATGGAAGGGACAGCTAGAGAAATAATAGGAAGACAAGAGATGGTGGTCACACAGGTACCAGCTAAAGAGAGAAAAAACACATACAGAGTGAGACAGAGGAGGGTCAGAGAGAGAGAGAAATGCAGAAAGAAACGGAGAGAAGAAAACACTATCTCTGTCACAGTGTCATCCCCTTGCAAACCTCTGGAGATATTTGGGGGTTCAGTGAGAGAAGCAGTGCCTCCAGAATCAATTGCATATGTGTGCAGAGGGGAAAATAAAAGAAAGCACCCAAACAGCTCCATTTCCTCATGGAGCTGCACTGTTGGCAGTTGTGGTAACAAAGAGGGTTTTGTGAAAGCAGCCAGGCTTGCCTCCCATCCCAATTTTCTATCATCTCTCCAAGGCCCAGGACAGGGCAGTGAAGGGCATGGGCCAGTAGTCCATGATGGAGGTGATCTTTTCTTCCCTCCTCCTCTGGCCTCCCAAAGCAGAAAGTATCTTGTCATCCCAGACCTGGGCCCGAAGCCTCCCTCCCTCCCTTCATCCATCCATCCATGCATGCATCCATCCATCCTTCTCCTCCTCCCTTCCTCAGGGCCCTATCTCAAGAAAACCATGAAAGCATGCCTGGGACAATGGACTCCCAAAATCAGTCAGCTAGGAGCCCACCTGACCCAGGAAATGCTTTCCTAGAGGTAGAGCAGCTGTGGCGAGGGGTAAGCTATGACGGGAGGAGCAGCCAACTGCCTGGCTGGCTGAGAGACAGCCATAGGGGAGGACTCTGGAAGGGCATGGATGCGTTGGAAACCACATTGCTAAGTATAAAATGGAGAAAAGTGTCACGTTGCAAATATAAGAGATGTCTGCTGGACAGAAAAAAAAAAAGTGTCCTCCTGACTTCCTAGGTAGCCCAAGACCTGTTAATAACAAAAACAACAACCAACACTTACTGAGTGCTTTAAATAATGCTGGGCATTGGGTTAAACTATAGATTTTATCAGCCATGCCCCACAAGGTCTGTGGCATAGAGCATATGGGATTTGTGATGGGAGAAAGTGAGGATTATTATCCCCAATTTGCAACGAGCCCTGCAGCCTGATTCTATGTGCTTATCTCGGTCAGGTCACAGTTGATCGTTTTGCACTAATTTACACAGATTTATTCATGTATTATATTACCTGGACATCCACTTTGTGTGAGACTGCTAGGATATGGTTGACTATGAGTACAGAGGGGTGTGGTAGAAAAGAAGGGGGTAGAGGGAAAAGATGATGGACAAAGACAAAGAGAGGCAGAAGGAGGCCTGCACCCAGGAAACCTAGAGTCTGCCAGAGAAGGGAGGGCATGTGCATCAGTAACTGGTATCAGTACAAGTTAGAGAGCATGAAGGCTGAAGAATGTGCTAGCAAAGCTGAGCAGCATGTGAGATTCTTTCTGAATGAGAGGAATAGAGCATGAGTTCCATCTGAGCTGGGCCTTGAGGCATGAGTTCAAAATGTGGGATTGTGAAGTACAGAGAGAAGATGCATCCTAGATAGATGGAATCACCCAAGCCAAGGCACAGAGTCCACAGAGACAGACCAAAAACTCAGGTGACCTAACATCCTGCTGCACACTAGGAGGTTCTTTGAACAAGTAGGGTAGTCATAAGAGAGAAGGCCAGCCAAGTAGATTGAGGGTAAATAAAAGAGAGAGTTAAATTCGGAATGCAATGGGCAGTGATTGGAGATGACTGAGCAGAAAAAGAGAGGCAGCCAAGCACCCTGTATACCCCTGTGAATGAATAAATTACCACATTCACTGATTCCTCCATTCAGCAAATATTCTTCATGTGCCCACTGTGTGCCTGGCCCCACCTAGACAGATGGGCACATCTGTTAACAAAGCAGGTAGAGAACCCTTCTCCCGCGGAGCTCTAATTCTTTCAGGGACATGTGTATTTTATTTCTTATCTACTGATGATGACACAATGTCCATGTGGGTGTGACTTTTGGGGTATCTAAGCAGACAGGAATCAACCCCCAATGAACCCACAGTGATGCTGAGTGTAAGGACACTCAGTTTGGGGTAGCCAGGGACGGCACAGAGCATATGGGACTTGTGATGGGAGAAGTCACCAACAGAAAGGGATTATATTAGACAGGATTTTCTTGATTGCAATTAACAGATCAAACTGGCTCCAGCAGTAGAAGGTAATTTACAGGCTCATATAGCCAAGCTCCTTAAAACCCAGGGGTGGGAGCTGGCCTCACGAATAACTGGTATTGGAGTTCTAGTATCACCCATCCCTCAATCCCCATTTATGTTTCTCTGCGGATGTTATGTCATTTCCCCCATATTGGCTGTTGTTGAGGTTTGGCATCAGCCCCTGCAACCTCATATCCTGACAGTTTAATAGCCAGAGAGGAAAGCTGGCTTCCTCTATCCAGCTCCCCTTGAAACTCACAGAGAAGGACTCTGACTGGTCTGGCTTGGGTCACGTGCCCATCTCTTCTCAGGCCAACCCAGCAGCCAGGAAGTTGAGGTTCCATCTGTACTCAGGCTGGGTTACCTTGTCCCCTTCAGGGTCATAGGGACAGGAAGGGAAACAAAACTAATAGATATACACTACTGGGATTGAGACAACTGAAAACTCATTTTACCTAATGGACAGTTATGCTAAAGGGTGACTCCAGCATCCATTCAAGATACATAATATAAGGTAATTCCTACTCAGTCCAGGACATCGGTAAATGTTACCAACCCACTCCACCCTCTCCCACAGACAAATTAAAAAGTGATACATATAACGTAGAGAACAAAAAAAACACACTGTGAATTAGCTGTCCTGGAGGAGGTGGAGGTAGATCATTCTAAAGACAGTGTGGGAGGTATGGGGAGAGAGGGGCTGGTCAGAACAAAATGAGGTACAGGCAAGTTCCAGGGCTCACCAGAACTGCATCAGCACAGCCACCTGCCTGTATTCCCAGAGAATCAAGGCAGGGCTGCACCCTCTCCTCTACCAGCCACCACCCCCACCTCCCAGCAGGATCAAGAACCTTGGTCAGGAGTAGTGCCTTCCGCTGGAGGATCTTCATTTGCTGAGAAGGCCAGCCCTGCAGGAAATCCCGAGCTAAGAAACAAGAACAATTTGAAAGGATGCAGGAGGCATTAAGCCAGAATGGTTCTCCAGGGGCTGGTGGGGCTAAATGGAAACTCAGGCAAAGAGAACAAAAGGAGGATAGAGTGGAGCCATCATTCATGGAAGAAAAAGGATGCTAACCATCAAGGAAGAGGCAGTATCTTCACTGGGAGGGAGAAATCAAAAGCAAAATAAGGAAACATTTTAGCAAAAATCAATGCTTTCAAAATGCATTTAATCATCTAGAGTTCTGGAAACTTAGCAAAGGGGCAGAGCTTGTTCTGGTGTAAAGAATAAGGGACAACAAGCAGAAGCTAGGCAGTCTGACCTCCCTTGTGCCAGTGACATACTGTGTGGTCTTGGACTCGTGACTTTATTTTCCTATTTGTAAAATTAAGCCAACAATCCCTGCATTGCCTGCAACACCGTATCATGTGAAGGCCCACTGAGATAATGGAAGGGCAGCAGTTTTTAAAATATTAAGCAACTCCATTGTAATTAATTAGCCTAGCTGAATAATTAGAAAATGATGGTTAGAAATTGGGTCACTCTAACCTGGAAGGGAAGAAGCCGTGAAAGAGGTTAAGGCTTAGGATTCAAATGCACTGGCATCCTGCTAAATGACATGTACAAAAGCAATGGATTCTATGTTTTTAAAAAGAATATATAATTGCTGAGCACCTACTATATTCTCGACCCCTTGTAAGATATCAAAGATAATATAGAAGAAGCACAAGACATAATCCCTGAGGTGTCAAGTGTATCTGATGAGATAAAGCATGTACAGTAAAGTGCAACTCACAGCATGAATTAAGATAAAAGCCAAGCTGAGGTGTTGATAATAAATGTCACAAGAGCTCAGGGCAGAGATTTGTGGCCTGATGGGCTGGAGGGGAAGCGGAGGTTGCCCCTCTGTTGCCCTTGAAGCAGGATTTGGATATGTAGGGAAGAAAAGCAGGAAGAACATGAGAAAGGTGATTATGGTACAGGTCAGGATGGCCATAGAGATGGTATGTGTCCATGGCATTGTTGGAAGGATGGTCAGTGTGGATGGAACGGTGTGTAAGATGGTAATAATGGACAATTATTTAGGAAAGGGCATCATGTCCAGGCTCCGAAAGCCTTGAAATCAGATGAAAGAATTGATCATAAAGGAAAGGGAACCCACTGGAGACCCTGGAACAAAGGAGCTGATTGACCAAGTGTTACTTAAGAAGATGGATGCAAGGGCAGATGCTGAATCAACAGGAGAGGGTGATGCTTCCACAAAATACTCAGAGAAGAGGAGCTCAGGGATACAGGGGTGACAGTCAGGTGGTTATAGAAGAAATGAAAAACAATAGGGAACAACTGGCAGGCCTTTGTACCTAATTACGTGTGGGGAATGAAGGATGAGGTGGAGCAAAGGTATCTCTCTTGTCTTGATCCCAAGGAACTGGGTTAGTGCCAGTGTGGTGTAAGCATGTATTAATTGTTTCCTGTGCCTGGTGGGGGTTGGAGGCAAAGAAGGCTCCCCAGAGGAAGTGACATGTTTGTGAAGTCTTAAAAATTATGTCCACCTACTTTCAGAGGGAGTGAAGAGCATCCAGAGAAAGGAAACGGCATGGACCAAGGCAAAGGCAAGGAGGTGTGAAAAGGAAAGCTCCCAGTGTGGGGCATGTCTGTGAACACCTGAAGAGTGGGAGAACACTAGAGAAGTAGGCAGGGACACATTATAAAGGAACTTGGACTTATGCAGCAGATATGGGGAGCTATGAAAGGAATGGTAGCAGGGAGAAGATACTGTCAATTCTTTTATAGCTGTTTGTAAAAATACAGCGAGTTGAAAAGTAGAGAAAATCCCCAAATGAAGTGTAATGTGACTCTAAAAGTATTCTGATATCTTTAAACTGAAGGAATTGTATTGCTCTCTTACTCTTTATACATCTCCTGCCTTTTGTTTTTATATGTACTGCCTTTTAGCTTAATAAAAGCTGTTGCTATGTTTTTTTGGTGCATAAATATTTATAATGTTTAGATCATCATTGCAGGTTTCAATAAAGTTTCTATCTTTGTGTCATTTACTGTTTTGAGCCCTGTACTCAACCTGTCTGATACATGCCTGATATTAAAACTAAGATTTCTAGTTTTGTTTTGATTTGCTTGCTTGCCTTTTTCCTTCCTTTTGTTTTCAACTTTCCAGTCACTTTATTTTAATTGTGTCTTTTGCTCATAGCACAAAATTGTTCTTTACATTGTAACTTAAATGGAGAATCTATTTATTTTGACTGATACATTTTTACTTTTATATTTTTTAATGTCATAGATGTGTTTGTACTCAGTTTAGACATCACATACTTTCTGCCTCTATTGCCTCTTTTTATCTTTCACTAACAGTTATGGTTTGTTATATTTTAATTTGGTTTGTGTGTAGGTTCATAGAGATAGTTGGGAAGGTTTTAACATTTTTCATTCTTTATTGTTTATCTTTCTGATAGTTTATACAATATATTTAATCCTCTGTATCCTTACTAGCTATTGACTGTCAGCTCTGCAAGATAATGACATGTGTATAGTTCCTCTTCTGTAGCCTCTCATTTTTCTACTCTTACCGAATTTTAATTAATCATGATGATGACGATGATGATGATGATGATATTTCTGCTAATCTCAACCTTATACTTTTTAATAAACATTTCCTTCTATTTGATTCTTTAGCACTAAGTGGTAACCTTTGACCCTTGGCTACCTTCTCATTCCCTTCAACTTCTGAATTTTTTTTAGTTTCAGTGTTTTAAAATGTTATTATAGTTCATTAATATTTACATTGTGTTCTCAAATCATAATTTCCAGTTTGTGTGTGTGTGTGTGTTGTAATCCTAAAGTCATTAACAACCCACCACCAGTTCTTCTGCCATAGTTTCTTCATTTTCTACTGATTAGTTAAATTTCAGCCTCCAGTTTCTTCAAGATGAGATCAGATAAATGCATTTTCTGCATTATTAGGATGTGTGGTGAAGCATTTGTACTTGAACAACAGTTTGAGTTTAACACATTTTTACTGTTTCTTATTTGTTCTTAGTGAGGTTTTATAAGCATCATGTTGCTATGGAAAACTCTGGCACCAACCTAATTTTCCCCCTTGAAAAATAAATTCTGGTTTTGATCTTGGTTTTCTTTTGTTTGTTTCGCTTTTTGTTTGTTGGGATGGCAAGAGAGTCTTTCTTTACCATTGGGTATCATTTCTGTATCAATTTTTCCTGAGACGGTTTATGTTTTGTTTGTTTTGCCTTGCTTTGTAGGCAGATTTAAATATTTTATTTTTGAAAACCGTTTTGAAATTATACTTCTCCAAATACATTTTCTATTCTATATTTTTTAGTATTCTTCAAATACTACATTTATGCATAAGCATAGATCTATTGTATCTATTTTATCTTCCATTTCTATCATGTTCTTTCTTATTCCTTTTTAACTATCCATTTTCATGTGTTCTGCTCACTTGATCAATCCTGTTCTTAAGTCTGTTTTTGTGTCTTGAGCAGTTTCTTTTCACCGTCTTGTTGCTGCTGATGGGTCCCTAATTTTGGTGATGACTCTTTTTTTCTCCTTTACAACTTTCCTGAGCTCTGCTAGCTCATTTTTTGCTCTTTCAGTTGTCTGGACATGTCTTTCTTGATATTTTATTTTATATAATGATTTGTTTCATTGAGGCTTGTTGTTTTTTTATTTGTATGTTTGTCTATAATAGTTTTTTTTATTATACTTTAAGTTCTGGGGTACATGTGCAGAATGTACAGGTTTGTTACATAGGTATACACGTGCCATGGTGGTTTGCTGCACCCATCAACCCATCATCTACATTAGGTATTTCTCCTAATGCTATCCTTCCCCTAGCCCCCGACCCCATGACAGGCCATGGTGTGAGATGTTCCCCTCCCTGTGTCCATGTGTTCTCGTTGTTCAACTCCCCCTTATGAGTGAGAATATGCAGTGTTTGGTTTACAGTTCCTGTGTTAGTTTGCTGAGAATGATGGTTTCCAGCTTCATCCATGTCCCCGCAAGGAACATGAACTCATTCTTTTTCATGCTGCATAGTATTCCGTGGTGTATTTGTGCCACATTTTCTTTATCCAGTCTATCATTGATGGGCATTTGGGTGGGTTCCAAGTCTTTGCTATTGTGGATAGTGCTGCAGTAAATACACGTATGCATATGTCTTTATAGTGGCATGATTTATAATCCTTTCGGTATATACCCAGTAATGGGATTGCTGGGTCAAATGGTATTTCTGGTTCTAGATCCTTGAGGAATCGCCACACTGTCTTCCACAGTGGTTGAACTAATTTACACTCCCACCAACAGTGTAAAAGCATTCCTATTTTCCACATCCTCTCCAGCATCTGTTGTTTTCTGACTTTTTAATGATAGCCATTCTAACTGGTGTGAGATGGTATCGCATTGTGGTTTTGATTTGCATTTCTCTAATGACCGGTGATGATGAGCTTTTTTTCATATGTTTGTTGGTCACATAAATGTCTTCTTTTGAGAAGTGTCTGTCCATATCCTTCGCCCATTTTTTGATGGGGTTGTGTGTTTTTTTCTTCTTAATTTGTTTAAGTTTCTTATAGATTCTGGATATTAGCCCTTTGTCAGATGGATAGAATGCAAAAATTTTCTTCCATTCTGCAGGTTGCCTGTTCACTCTGATGATAGTTTCTTTTGCTGTGCAGAAGCTCTTTAATTTAATTAGATCCCATTTGTCAATTCTGGCTTTTGTTGCCATTGCTTTTGGTGTTTTAGTCATGAAGTCTTTGCCCATGCCTATGTCCTGAATGGTAATGCCTAGGTTTCTTTCTAGGGTTTCTGTGGTTTTAGGTCTTACATTTAAGTCTTTAATCCATCTTAAATTAATTTTTGTATAAGGTGTAAGGAAGGGGTCCAGGTTCAGTTTTCTGCATATGGCTAGCCAGTTCTCCCAACACCATTTATTAAATAGGGAATCCTTTCTCCATTGCTTGTTTTTGTCAGGTTTGTCAAAGATCAGATGGTTGTAGATGTGTGGCATTACTCCTGAGGCCTCTGTTCTGTTCCATTGGTCTATATATCTGCTTTGGTACCAGTACCATGCTGTTTTGGTTACTGTAGCGTTGTAGTATGGTTTGAAGTCAGGTAGCATCATGCCTCCGGCTTTGTTCTTTTTGCTTAGGATTGTCTTAGCTACATGGGCTCTTTTTTGGTTCCATGTGAAATTTAAAGTAGTTTTTTCTAATTATGAGAAGAAAGCCAATGGTAGCTTGATGGGGATAGCATTAAATCTATAAATTACTTTGGGCAGTATGGCCATTTCATAATATTGATTCTTCCTATCCATGAGCATCAAGTGTTTTTCCATTTGTTTTTGTGTCCTCTCTTATTTCCTTGAGCAGTGGTTTGCAGTTCTCCTTGAAGAGGTCCTTCACATCCCTTGTAAGTTGGATTCTTAGATATTTTATTCTCTTTGTAGCAGTTGCGAACAGGAGTTCACTCATGATTTGGCTCTTTGTTTGTCTATGATTGATGTATAGGAATGCTTGTGACTTTTGCACATTGATTTTGTATCCTGAGGCTTTGCTGAAGTTGCTGATCAGCTTAAGGAGATTTTGGGCTGAGATGATGGGGTTTTCTAAATATACAATCATGTCATCTGCAAACAGAAACAATTTGACTTCCTCTCTTCCTATTTGAATATCCTTTATTTTTTCTCTTGCCTGATTGCCCTGGCCAGAACTTCCAATACTATGTTGAATAGGAGTGGTAAGAGAGGGCATACTTGTCTTGTGCCAGTTTTCAAAGGAAATGCTTCCTGTTTTTGCCCATTCAGTATGATATTGGCTGTGGGTTTTTCATAAACAGCTCTTAATATTTTGAGATACATTCCATCAATACCTAGTTTATTGGGAGTTTTTAGCATGAATGGGTGTTGAATTTTATTGAAGGCCTTTTCTGCATCTGTTGAGATAATCATGTGGTTTTTGTCATTGATTCTGTTTATGTGATGGATTACGTTTATTGATTTGTGTATATTGAACCCCCTTGCATCCCGGGGTTGAAGCCCATTTGATCGTGGCGGATAAGCTTTTTGATGTGCTGCTGGATTTGGTTTGCCCGTATTTTATTGAGGATTTTTGCATCAATGTTCATCAGGGATATTGGCCAGAAATTTTCTTTTTTTGTTGTGTGTCTGCCAGGTTTTGGTATCAGGATGATGTTGGCCCAGTAAAATGAGTTAGGGAGGGGTCCCTCTTTTCCTACTGTTTGGAATAGTTTCAGAAGGAGTGGTACCAGCTCCTCTTTGTACCTCTGGTATAATTTAGCTGTGAATCCATCCGGTCCTGGGCTTTTTTTGGTTGGTAGGCTATTAATTATTGCCTCAATTTCAGAACTTGTTGTTGGTCTATTCAGGGATTCAACTTCTTCCTGGTTTAGTCTTGGGAGGGTGTATGTGTCCAGGAATTTATCCATTTCTTCTAGATTTTCTAGTTTATTTGCATAGAGGTGTTTATAGTATTCTCTGATAGTAGTTTGCATTTCCGTAGGTTCAGTGGTGATATCTCCTTTATCATTTTTTATTGTGTCTATTTGATTCTTCTCTCTTTTCTTCTTTATTGGTCTGGCTAGCAGTCTATCTATTTTGTTAATCTTTTCAAAAAACCAGCTCCTGGATTCATTAATTTTTTGAAGGGTTTTTTGTGTCTCTATCTCCTTCAATTCTGCTCTGATCTTAGTTATTTCTTGTCTTTTGCTAGCTTTTGAATTTGTTTGCTCTTGCTTCTCTAGTTCTTTTAATTGTGATGTAAGGGTGTCGACTCTAGATCTTTCCCACTTTCTCCTGTGGGCATTTAATGCTATAAATTTCCCTTTAAACACTGCTTTAGCTGTGTCCCAGAGATCCTGGTATGTTGTGTCTTTCTTCTCATTGGTTTCAAAGAACTTATTTATTTCTGCCTTAATTTCGTTATGTACCCAGTATTCATTCAGGAGCAGGTTGTTCAGTTTCCACATAGTTGTGCAGTTCTGAGTGAGTTTCTTAATCCTGAGTTCTAATTTGATTGCACTGTGGTCTGAGAGACAGTTATGATTTCTGTTCTTTTGCATTTGCTGAGGGAGGGTTTTCCAATTATGTGGTCAATTTTAGAATAAGTGCGATGTGGTGTTGAGAAGAATGTATATTCTGTTGACTTGGGGTGGGGAGTTCTTTAGATGTCTGCTTGGTCCAGAGCTGAGTTCAAGTCCTGAATATCCTTGTTAATTTTCTGTCTCATTGATCTGTCAAATATTGACAGTGGGGTGTTAATACACTATTATTGTGTGGGAGTCTAAGTCTCTTTGTATGTCTCTAAGAACTTGCTTTATGAATATGGGTGCTCCTGTATTGGGTGCATATATTTAGGATATATATTTAGGATATAGATATAGATATATGTTTAGGTTATATATATATTTAGGATATATATATATATATATTTAGGATATATATATATATATATATATATATATATATATATATATATATATGATAGTTATCTCTTCTTGTTGCATTGATCCCTTTACCATTATGTAATGCCCTTCTTTGTCTTTTTTTATCTTTGTTGGTTTAAAGTCTGTTTTATCAGAGACTAGGATTGCAACGCCTGCTTTTTTTGCTTTCCATTTGCTTGGTAAATCTTCCTCCATCCCTTTATTTTGAGCCTATGTGTGTCTTTGCACATGAGATGGGTCTTCTGAATACAGCACAGTAATTGGTCTTGACTCTTTATCCAATTTTCCAGCCTGTGTCTTTTAACTGGGACATTTAGCCCATTTACATTTAAGGTTAATATCGTTATGTGTGAATTTGATCCTGTCATTATCATGATAGCTGGTTATTTTGCCCATTAGTTGATGCAGTTTCTTCATAGTATTGATGGTCTTTACAATTTGGTATGTTTTTGCAGTGGCTGGTACCGGTTTTTCCTTTCCATATTTAGTGCTTCCTTCAGGAGCTCTTGTAAGGCGGGCCTGGTGGTGACAAAATCTCTCAGCAATTGCTTGTCTGTAAAGGATTTTATTTCTCCTTCTCTTATGAAGATTAGTTTGGCTGGATATGAAATTCTGGATTGAAAACTCTTTGTTTTAAGAATTTTGAATATTGGCCCCCACTCTCTTCTGGTTTGTAAGGTTTCTGCAGAGAGATCTGCTGTTAGTCTGGTGAGCTTCTCTTTGTGGGTAACCCGACCTTTCTCTCTGACTGCCCTTAACATTTTTTCCTTAATTTCAACCTTGGTGAAGGTGATGATTATGTTTCTTGGGGTTGCTCTTCTTGAGAAGTATCTTTGTGGCATTTTCAGTATTTCCTGAATTTGAATGTTGGCCTGCCTTGCGAGGCTGGGGAAGTTGTCCTGAACAATATCCTGAAGAGTGTTTTCCAACTTGGTTCCATTCTCCCCATCACTTTCAGGTACACCAGTCAAACGTAGGTTTGGTCTTTTCACATAGTCCCATATTTCTTGGAGGCTTTGTTTGTTCCTTTTCATTCCTTTTTCTCTAATCTTGTCTTCATCCTTTATTTCATTAAGTTGATCTTCAATCTCTGATATCCTTTCTTCCACTTGATCGATTCGGCTATTGATACTTGTGTATGCTTCATGAAGTTCTTGTGCTGTGTTTTTCAGCTCCGTCAGGTCATTGATGTTCTTCTCTAAACTGGTTATTCTAGTTAGCAATTCCTCTAACCTTTTTTCAAGGTTCTTGGCTTCCTTGCATTGGGTTAGAACATGCTTCTTTAGCTTGGAGGAGTTTGTTATTACCCGCCTTCTGAAGCCTACTTCTGTCAATTCATCAAACTCATTCTCCATCCAGTTTTATTCCCTTGCTGGCGGGGAGTTGTGATCCTTTGGAGAAGAGGAGTTCTGGTTTTTGGAGTTTTCAGCCTTTTTGCACTGGTTTTTCCTCATCTTCATGGATTTATCTACTTTTGGTCTTTGATGTTGGTGACCTTTGGATGGGGTTTTTGTGTGGACATCATTTTTGTTGATGATGATGCTATTCCTTTCTGTTTGTTAGTTTTCCTTCTAACAGCCAGGCCCCTCTGCAGCAGGTCTGCTGGAGCTTGCTGGAGGTCCACTCCAGACCTTGTTTGCCTGGGTATCACCAGTGGAAGCTGCACAACAGCAAAGATTGCTGCCTGTTCCTTCCTTTGGATGCTTTGTCCCAGGGGGGTACCCACAAGATGCCAGCCGGAGCTCTCCTGTATGAGGTGTCTGTCGACCCCTGCTAGGAGGCATCTCCCAGTAAGAAGGCATGGGGGTCAGGGACCCACTTTAGGAGGCAGTCTGTCCCTTAGCAGAGCTCAAGTGCTGTGCTGGGAGATCTGCTGATCTCTTCAGAGTCGGCAGGCAGGAACATTTAAGTCTACTGAAGCTGCACCCACAGCCACCCCTTCCCCCAGGTGCTTTGTCCCACGGAGATGGGAGTTTTATCTATAAGCCCATGACTGGGGCTGCTGCCTTTCTTTCAGAGATACCCTGCCCAGGGAGGAGGAATTTAGAGAAGCAGTCTGGCTACAGCAGCTTTGTAGAGCTGCGGTGGGCTCCACTGAGTCCAAACTTCCTGGTGGCGTTGTTTATACTGTGAGAGGAAAACCACCTACTCAAGCCTCAGTAATGGCGGATGCCCTTACCCCAACCAACCTCGAGCATCCCAGGCTGACTTCAGACTGCTGTGCTGGCAGCAAGAATTTCAAGCCAGTGGATCTTAGCTTGCTGGGCTCCATAGGGGTGGGATCCGCTGACCTAGACCACTTGGCTCCCTGGCTTCAGCCCCCTTTCCAGGGAAGTGAATGGTTCTGTCTCACTGGCGTTCCAGGTGCCACTGGGGTATGAAGAAAAACTCCTGCAGCTAGCTTGGTGTCTGCCCAAACAACCACCTACTTTTGTGCTTGAAACCCAGGGCCCCGGTGGTGTAGGCACCCAAGGGAATCTCCTGGTCTGTGGGTTGCAAAGACCATGGGAAAAGAATAGTATCTGAGCCAGAATGCACTGTTCCTCAAGGCACAGTCCCTCATGGCTTCCCTTGAATAGAAGAGGGAGTTCTTTGATCCTTTGTGCTTCCCAGGTGAGGCAACGCCCCACCCTGCTTCTGCTCGCCCTAAATGGGCTGGATCCACTGTCTAACCAGTCCCAATGAGATGAGCTGGGTACCGCAGTTGGAAATGCAGAAATCACCTGCCTTCTGTACTGATCTCACTGAGAGCTGCAGACTGGAGCTGTTTCTATGCAGCCATCTTGCCAGCCACTGTCTATGATAGTTTGCTTGGCACAGTTTCCTTTAGCTTGATGGTAACACAATTTGGTACTTGTTCTTTGTCTGTTTCCTTTTATCATTACCTTCTTTTCTTGCAATATCTTTGTAGAGTTCTTCTGATGGTTTCTGTTTAATTCTGGCTCATATTTGACTGAGATAAGCTCTTTCTTAACCAGCTATTTTGCAGAAAAAGGAAGGCGTGAAGAGCCAGCCTATAATGTCATCCAGTAGCATCTCTCTAGTTTATAGGGATGTGCCTGACAACACACAAGGTTGTGTGTGTGGATATGTGTACAAGTTAATTTAGCCTTTACCTTTTTCCAGAAAAAAAAAAAGAGATTGTCAGTTGCCAAGACCAATTAAAGTGGAACCTATCTTCTCTAACCTGCCTTCCCAACAGACAAGCTTAAATAGAATTTTTAAGTGTTTTCTTATTTATACCACCTCCCCTTTTCTTAATGGAAGAGTCCAGGGATGCTTTTACAGGCAGCCATTCACCTTAGACCAGTTGACCCCCAAAAGACGGTGTTGGTTCTGCCCTCTTTGGCAAACTCTGTGCTCTGCGAGCTTTGCTTGAGGTCTTTGGCAGCAGACACCTTTCAGCATCTACCTGCCCTAGGTTGGAACTTTACTGCTTTTGGCAGCCCTTCCTCAACAAAGGTGAGGTTTGCATTTCTGTTTCTTATTATTATTGTCTTGGAACAAATTCAAAAGGAAGTGGGCAGGGCTATCTTAACAACACTGTCTTAAAAGTAAAGCTCTTTTTAAAAAGCTGTATATCCCAATTTTCCTCCCCTAAATCTCTAGCACCTAACGCTATATCTGACAAAGAGAAAATGCTCAATTAATGTTTGTTAATATTAATAGCTAATAATAAAATGAATAAATAAAGGAATGAACAAACAATTCTCAAATGTAATAATTGAGATATAACTGTATTTCAGGCCTGTCCTCAAAAGAACTTTAACAATGAATTCTCCTTGATCTTCCTTGCAACAGCGTAATAAAGCATACTTCCCAGGGCTTGTCATGGCTCTGACATCTCCTGCCTACTTTTTTCTCATCCTTTGTTATGTCTTGTCAGCATACTACTCTCACTCACTATCTGTGCCAAGTTAGAGTACCTAGCACACAGGAAATAGTGAATTCTACAGGAAAACTCTATATAGTCGGTTTTTCTTTTCCTAGTCTGGTGTCTAGCCTCAGTTTTTATGGATGTATTTTGAATTTGTTTCTCTTTGTCTTACTTCTAAAATTGGAAAAGCTCTGTATCTGCTTTACCATAAATCTTCAGAAAATTAAAGGCATAATGATGCTGTTCTCCCCCTGTTTTGGTAAGGAATGGAAATAATCATTCACATTACCCACAGCAACAGGCCTCTGAGCCCCCAAAGGTCTGGACTCTGTCCGGATGTGGCCAGGGAGGAAGGATCCTCTGGGAAATGGAACATTGCAAGACGTGAACATTTATTGCACCTCTCGTAAATTCCATGAGGGTCTTCATCATGGGTGTGGAATAGTGGATGGCCTTCCCCAAGAAAGGATTTGCATGGTTCAGTAAGTAGGGCTAGCAGAGTCCAGCTTTCTCTCTGCTTTCCATTTCAAAGGAAAGGGAGCCTTTGACTTAAGGAAGCAACCCATAAGTGCCCCCAAAACAAAAAGTATGTCTCAGACTATTCTTATGCCTTCCACATGAAGATATAATAGGTTTTGAGAAGTGTATATGCTCATTTCTGATTTGCTTGAGTCTACAAGTAACACCAAAAACTTTGCTACCTGTCCAAAATTTTTCAATGTCTAATCCCAGACAAGATTCTTCAATTTCTTTTAGAGATCTTCAGTGTATTATTTTCTTTCTTTTCTTTCTTCACCTTGAGTTTCCAGACCTCTTCAAATTGCTCATGCCCTGTACTCTGTACCCTTCTCACTGCTGAGCTGAATGCAATTGGCTGCCCACACCTGCCCGTGCCTGTCTCCACAGAGTGTTCATGCCTACCTGGATATCAACACTAAGATAGGTAGAACAGCAGGAAAGGGAAGGCCCAAGGGATACATGCCTATAGTCTACATTTGTGTTCTCACCAGGAATACAATGACCAGCCATCTCTGCCCACAGCCAGGTACATCAGTGCTCTTTCTTCCAAACAAGCACACATTGAGATTACCCCCACAGCCCACATAACCAGAGCAGAGCTCCCCTTACATGCCTGAAAACTCATGCCCACTGCCACCTTCCCCCTCCCCTGGGGGCCTGCATGGGCTTTCATTAGAGGCACCAAGCATCTTGGATTGCCAGGAACAGTCCCAATTAATGTCTGGTGCCCTGTCCAGAGAAACATTTGTCCCAGTCAAAAGCAATTTTTCTAATAGTAAATTATGTGCTCTCTCTAATTTAATGCTTAATTTTTAAAAAGCAGCATGAGTCAGAATGCTTCTGGTTATAACCAAAGTTCTTTTCTTCTTCCCAGTTTTTAAAATATATATATATATATTAAGACTCACTAAGAAAATGAAGCAGACAAAGAGACCTGAAGTCCAGGTACACAAAAGACCTGGGGCAGATGATTGATAAAGTTTAAAAAGTAAGCACTGGCAGGGTTGTCAGACAGGCTAAGAGAAGTTTTGTGTGAGGCTTGAGGGAGGAACCAATCCCCAAAATTAGGAGGAGGCAGGATTCCAGGCTCAGGGGAGATGTTTTGGGATAATGCAATCCCCAGGCCAGGTTTTGGAGGACAGGCATTTTATGTGTCTCTCTCCCCTCTCTCCTCCCTCTTTGTGCCTGCATATTCTGGCCAATAATGCACCAGTGATTTTTCTCTGTTATTTCATTTATGGCAATGACTTCAGGTCTTGTGTCTGGTCATAATGGTGATCTATGTATGCCATCTACACTGGGCATGGCTAATGAATCCTATTTTATTTCTTAATTAAGAATTTGAAAGTGCCGCAAATTACTGCAATTAATATGGATTTTCTTCCTCATTTATTTACTTATTTAGATGCCTGAAATTGCACCCTTAGCTTAAACCAACCGCAGAGTTCAGAGCTTGTTAAAATATATAGCATTCATTAAAATATTTACTCTTCCCCAACAGTAAGGGTTGCAATTTGGAAATGGTGGTGGTATCTATGTATACAAAATGCTTCCAAAAAATCTATTGAATTCAGTTTATCCAGCTTAGTAATTTAAAAAGTTGAATTTATTGACAATCCTTTGTGCAACTGAAAAAAAACAGGATTTTCAAACTAGCCTATTGTTATGTTGACTTCAACCAGAGAAATTGTTGTTTTCCCTTTCAAAGTTCGTGAAGACTATGAGTATCACCACATTTTCAGGACTTCTGTGTCCATTGAAAGATAAGAATAACAATTTGAGGGTGGTTGAATTTATCAGACTTATTTCAAAACAATGGTACTTTGAAAATTGTTTAGCTTCAAATTTATCTCATAGTTTTCAAGATTCAACCTTAGTTTTCTTTCCTGGGTTCTTGTTTGGGGCTTTTCTTGTTTGGGGCTTTGGTTTCGGTTTCTAACTGGTTTTCATGGAGACAACTCAAGATAAAGTAGTTGAAATTAACCTGAACTACAGCCAGCAGGACTGTAAATGAATACAATCCTAACAGAAAGTGATTGGGGAATAACATACCAAAAGCTTTAAAAAAATGCATACCCATTGAAAGCCAGCTATTTTACTTCAAGGAATTTATCCTTAGGAAAGAAGAACGTGTACCAATGTTTAAGTACAATAATATTCATTGCAGCCCTGTTTATAATAGCAAAACAAAATAACCAAAATGTGCAGCAACAAAAGATTGAGTAAATTATGGTACAGACATATTAACATATGAAGCAGCTATTAAAAATTATGTGATTTGTATCAGTTATCTATGGCTGTTTTACACCAAAACTTAGTAGCTTAGAACAACAAATTTATTATCTCACAGTTTCTGAGGGTCTGGAATCTGGGCTTGGCTTAACTCCATCCTCTGACTCAGATCTCTCACAAGGCTACAATGAAGGTATTTGATGGAGCTACAATCACCTCAAGGCTTAACATGGAGAGGATTCACTCTCAAGTTCACTCAAGTGATTGTTGGCAGGATTCAGCTCCTCCTGGGCTGGTCTCCCTTAGCTCCTTGACACACGGGCATTTCTGTAGGGCAGACAGTTGATGACATGGCAGTTGGCTCCATGGCAGAAAGCAAGCCAGAGAATAAGAGAGCATGAGCAAGAAGATAGAGTCTTCTTGTAACCTAATCTTGGAAATGATATCCCAACACTGTGATATTCAATTGGTTGGATGTAAGTCAGAAGTTCAGCCCACACTCAAATGGAGTGATCACACAGTTATACAATGGTGAGAACACAAGGGGGTGGGGATCAAAGGGAATCATCTTAGAATGTGTCCACCACAGAGTTGAAGTTTATTTACTGGCAAAGGATATTCATTAATATCTTATTCAATGAAAGAAAAGGTCACAAAACAGCAAGGACAATAGGATCCCTGTTTTGTAAACTAAGACCGATAGAAAATATATTTGCATGTATACATAAATATTCATGAAACACTCTTTAAGTGTTCCTGGGTTAACAGTAGTTGTATCTAGATGGTGGAATAACAGATGAGTTTTATGTCCTGTTTCCTTATTTTTTTCTTTTTTTTCTGTAAAAGGAACATGTATTGTTTATAATTTTTAAAAGAGTAAATATTATTACCTTTTCAAGAAGCGATTTAAACCCTCAAGGCTTCTTTATTCTGACCTCCATTCTCTTTACAGGATTGTTTCTTGCTTACTACTTGTGGTCAACTAAGTAGAGATTCATAAGACCTTTATAGAACCACTGACAACACTGTGACCAAGGAAACTGTGAGTATGTTCTAGAACTTGCTTCTGTGTTTGTGTCTTCAAAACAGCTGCTATCACCAATAATTAAACCATAAAAAACCGAAATTATTTTTCCCTCTGGGGTGATTACAACCACACGGGAGCTGTGATGAGAGGTGAGTCCTGTGAAGATCTCCTCCTTGAGTCTTCCCCACTCCATTCTGGTTGCTTCCAGACAAGTGGTAACAATAATCACATGCTCATCTCCTCTGAAAAATTTAAAAGGGATAGGTTCTATTTATATGTCAAAAATAGATGAACAGATCTGACACTGCTGAACATAATTGCAAATTTGAAAAAAGGAGAGGGAATGGGTGAGAGAAAAGATAAAGCCATTAATAGCCTCCATACTTCATTAGTTTTCCTTCCTCATGCCACCAGGGAGGCCTGAGTTGGGGTGCCACTGATTTGGGGTTGGAATGATTTCCTAGCAATATAAAGTTTATCTTAAGGTCACTTGCTGATAAAAACTACTGTTTTGCCAGGCATCGATTTATTGGTTGTTTGACAAGCAGACCAGCTGTTCTATACTTATATTAAGCACAAAGAAAGCTGCTCAAGATGGATGCGCTGGCATCAGTGGGGGAGGAGGGTAATAGCCTCAAAGATGGCAGAGGATTAGGATTAGGTCTGAAATACTGGTGGATCTCTTTTCATTGGGATCTATAATAGAATAGCTGTTGTAACAGATAACATTCAAACTTTGATGGCTTAATAAAATGGATCACATTTCACTCATATAATAGCCAAAAGAGTTTTTGTCCAAATAATGGTTCAGAAACCCACCTGCCAATTGTCTGTGTTTTCTCCATCTTCTAGGGACTCTGAGTTGTATGTTAGGTCCTCTGTATCTAGCTGGGTTGATTGGGAAGGAGAAAATGAAGATGACACCCCCACTTCCTACCCAACTTGGCCTAAAATTGGCACACATCACTTTCATTCATACCTCACTGGTGAAAACTAATCATATGGGCCTCTCCTTGATGAAAGAGGCCTTGAGGTAGTCTCTGGCTAGTAGTTACTTCCCCACAATTCCACCATGCAGAAGGGTAGCACACACTGTGAGTGCTGTCAGGAAAGATCATAGCATTAGAACCTTCTTGCTGAGGAAACTTTTACTGGCATTCATATATATCTCACAGAGCAGGGATTAGTTAACTTATCAATGACTCTTTGAATGGTCAATTGTTCTTCCCTATATGGAGGAACTTCTAATGCCAGCTATATCCCCTTCTCATGGTTAAGGCAATAAGCCACTGGCAACAAGGTCCTAAAGATTCTAGGTTTCAAGGTTGTTCTCCACTGGAAGTGGTAGGTGTGCCTGCCAGTGCTGGAAGTCAGCAGAACTCACTGGGGTTTCAAGATACTAGCTTTCAAACTAACTCACTGTCTCTCTCTCTCTCTCTGCTTTAGCTTTTTGTTTGTTGACTGGTTGGTTGGTTTTTCTTTTTTTGAGTGTGCGTGTGTGTAATGACAGTAATAAGATATACCTCTTAGGGTTGTAAAGTCCCAAGGAGATAATTCAAGAAAGAGCACAATACACATTATCTCAACACATGGGTGGCTTTTCCAGCAAGTAGCCACATATATAAATAATTCCAGAAGTACCTTACCAACACTACCACAATTGCTGTTTCTTGTAATATCATTGTTATTAATAGGCTGCTATTATAATGATTAGCACTACTGCCAAAGATAAAATCATAACATCTCTTGTGTAGTGCTTTAGCATTTATTTATTTGATTCTCATGACAACCTTGTATAGTGAAAAGGAGATTCGCTATGATCATATCTATTTTATAGATGAAAGAACTGACCCTCAAGGAGACCAAGGGATAATGACCATGATGATCACATGATAGCCCAGTCAAACTGGCCACTTGGTTCTCAAACCCTGGCCTTTTAAGTCAAAATTGTATTACTACACTAAATGTAAAATGGCATCTTACCAAAATAAATGGAATCTTTGAAGAGACTTAGTCTCAATTCCTCATTGTTCAAATGAGTTGGGATATCTAGGAAAATTATTCTTTTTTATTCCACTACATGCTACTGACCTCAGGTCATCTTACTTTTTTCAAGGCTGGTCAGCCTAATTGCACCTGGGTTGGTGAGGAGGAGCAAATAGTATTAATGTTGGTGATTTCAGTTTATAGAGGCCATAATGTAGAGGGTTCTTGGAAATTTCTCCAAGGAATGTGAGTGGGGCCCCAAGAGGGAAGAAAATGGGTGCCCTCCAGTTTGGTATGTTTGGAAACAACACTGTGTGGCCAGCATCACAAACCCTAGTAGGCAGGTGACAGTCTGAAATCCACTTCTTGGTTTCTTATAGTTTTTTCTTCCCTTCAACTCTTTGGTCTTTTCCTAGCTAACTTTAGTGAATAATTTTCCAGTGACTTTTTTTTTTGTTACTGAGTGCAAAAAGAACTGTTACAGTGGCTCTAGGTTTGCAGTGTAAAGTCTTTGGAGACTGTGTTTGACCCTGTGTTGGGTGACTCCAACTGCCAGGAGCAATGAGCTATAGTCAACCTAGACCTCAACACGGAGACCAGCCCCCGGCCCCAGACCTGCTGTTGGCTGCTGTGATGACACAAGTTTAATTTAGACTCCAAGGAAGCCATGTTTTTCTCATCTGTCAAATCAAGTGGATGATGTTCACCCTCTCTACTTCCCCTACTTTCTTAGGGAAATACTGAGAACTTGAGGCTCAAATCAGTGAGTAGACAGAAAGTGCTTTGAAAAGCATACCATCTAGATAAGTGTGGAAGAAAGTCATCATTAGAATTCTGCTACTGCCATTATTGTTTTGGGGTCAGCTCAGCTTTTCTTAACACAGAGCAGTTAATGGCAACTGTATTAGATACCCACTGGGAGGGCAAAGGAGCCAGACAAGGGTCTCCTTTTATCCCATTTTAGCATCCTGTTTTCCTTTCACAACAGCTGTGTCTTGCGGGTTTATAAGTATTTTAATTACAGTGGCATTTTATTATACATTCTCCTGACAAAATTCAGGCTAGGGACTTTTTTTTTTTTAATCTGAAAAGTGGTGGATTTTCCTAGAGGCTGAGTTAACTTTAACCAGCAGTCAGAACACTGCTACCTTTGATCCCACTTAAAAGCATGGTAACTACCATTTTTCACAAATTATTTTCAGCATAACCAAAAAATAAAAATGTATTTGCAGGTCCACTAGCAAAAAGCAAAATGACAAAATCTATTAGCCATCTAGCTTTGTTTAATAAATTGGTCACCAGCTGAGAAGCATTTTTCCCATGGCCATAAGGAGTTACAGAATAGAAAATTTAGAAATCAACATAAAGACAGACCAGAAGAGTTAGACAAAGAAAAAGAGTATCTCACTCCTCATCCTGTTGTATGGCCATTCTGTTGCTTCCTGCAGCATCTCAAATAGGTTTTCCCAGAATAATCATCAAAAAGACAAGTAAACTCTGCCTTGCTAGAATAAAAAGATAAATGTTGCAAAGTAGGTAATCCATATAGTTAGAATGAAAAAATGTCAGGTTGAAAAAGGCTTTGGAGCATGTAGTCTAAAATTGTCGTTTTACAGGTGAGAAAATTAAGGCTCAGACCAGTGAAGGGCATGTCCAAGATCATGCAAAAGAGCAAGTATTAAGATGACTCCTAAGGGACTGTATCAGTTTCCCATTGCTGCTATAATTAATTATTGCAAACTTTAGTGGCTTAAAGCAACACAAATTCATTGTTTTACATACAGTTCTGTAGGTCAGAGGTCTGACAAGGGTCACACTGGACTAAAATCAAGGTACCAGCAGTGCTGGGCTCCTTTCTGGAGACTCTGAAAAGAATCTATTTCCTTGCCCTTTCCAGCTTCTAGAGGTTGCCTGCATTCCTTGGCTGATGGCTCCTTCCTCCATCTTCAAAGGCAGCAACATTGCATCTCCCTGACCATTCTTCTGTAGTCCATCTCTGGCCACAGCCAAGAAAGGTTTTCCACTTTTAAGGGCTCATATGATTAGGCTGGATCCACCTGAATGATGCAGAATAATCTCCCTATCTTGAGTTCAATGACTTTTAATTACATCCGCAAAGTCCCTCTTGACATATAAGGCAACACATTCGCAAGTTCCTGGGGATTAGGGCACAGGCATCTTTGAGTAGAGATGGGCATTATTCTGCCTACCATGGGGAGGAAAGATGGTGAGTCAGTAGAGAGTTGGTTGGTTGAGCAAGGAAATAGTTGTGGATACCTGTTGCAGGTTGGGGTCCCCAAGCATCAAACTCTGAGATGAAGGTGTGTGTGTTGGAAGTAAGAGGGCTTTCGGGATCAGCCACTGCAGAGGAGTGGAATTAAAAGAGGCAGAATAGGCAGAGGGAGGAGCTGGACTTTGGGCTCATCACAAGGTCCAGCTGACCCCTTGGGGATACCTAAAATGGGATGGCCTCTCAGAGTTATCAAGAGGGGCTGAGACTTTAAACTCTTTCTCTGATTGCTATGACCACATCAAGCAGTCACAGGATACGGGCTGCCCTGTGTATGTGTGTTGGGGAGAATTGCTGGTGTAACTAAGTCAGCTTTCTTCTCCGAGGTCAACTCCCAATAGCTAGGGTAATATGTCCTTCATTCATGAAAGATGATTTAAGCAAATAATCACAGCTACTTCTAGAATACCTGTACCTAAGCTTCACTTTTACATGTGAAAAAAATAAAAGGTCAGCTGTGGTCTGGAATTAAACCTGATTACAAAGTGGTCCTAGACTCAGAACTTAGGAATCAGAAGGAAAATAGTCATGTGTTTCATCTATAGTGTAAGGAGAAATGAGGTATGGCCTTGAAGGAGAGTGGACTCTTTGAGGATGTATGAACATGAGAGCAAGAGCAGGCAGGGATAACGTGAGCATGGCAGAATGATGAGATTGGGTTGGATATGGTGTGGACCCCAGAGGAAAAAAACAAGCAGATTGTAAGTTCTGGGGACTAAGATCCAAACCAACATCCAAATCCAGGGTTCTGCCCAAACAACAGCAAAGAAGTGGCATTGGCAGAGGCTGAGGGCAGGGCAGGGCAGGACAGGTAGTCCTGATATTGGCTTAGAAGGATTCCAGCAACTTTCAGCAGGTACTGGTGGTCAAAAGAGTAGAGTTCATGGTCAGCCATGGAAGTGGCTAAAGAACAGGTCAGAAATCTTATTTCAACAGAACTGAGGAAAGGGTAAGAACTTAGTGGGGAAAAGGGCATTCTGTGTTACAGTAAGCAGGTGGACTACAGCTTTGGGTCATCTGGCCCATGAATGTCATTGGCTCAAGCCCAAGTCTGATCCTGGTGCAGGAAATGAAGATGCTCTGGTCACCTGAGTAGCAAGGGTTAAAAACATTTAAGGGGCTGGGAAGGCAAAACCATCTGCTCACTCCAGGGGAAGTGCTCTCACATTACATCAGGGCTGACCTCAATGTTCAATCTAACTGAATGGTATCCACACTCAGCAAGGAAGGTACAAAGACTGATTTGTTCCCACCCTTTAGTCCCCACGTTCTCACTCCCTCGGGTCAGTGGTGAGCCAGCACTGCATAAGGATAGTTCTTCCTGTTTGTCCAGATGGACAAGACGAACTCCCCAGCTACCTCCACTTTTCCACACATCCAGGCTGCAAAGCCTAAAGGACATATTATTTTTGAAAAAGATTTCCTGCATCTTCTAGAAGACTGTGAAGACATTGCACTGGGCCAACCATACTTGTAGACAAAAATGGTTTTGATTATCCTACATGGTTCGATTCAAGTGGTGAGAAACATCATTGCCTTTCTGTAAGTCCTTTCTGCATGCATATGTCAGCAAGAACATTCATAATAATGGCTCATGATTCTTATAGGGCTTCACATTTTATGTAACAGTTAACCTATACTAAATCTCTTGAATTTCACAATGCTACTTATAATCCCAGCACTTTGAGAGGCTGAGGCCAGCAGATCATTTGAGGTGAGGAGTTCAAGACCAGCCTGGCCAACATAGGGAAAACCTGTCTCTACTAAAAATACAAAAACTATCTAGGTGTGGTGGTGTGCTCCTGTGGTCTCAGCTACTTGGGAGGCCGAGGCATGAGAATTGCTTGAATCCAGGAGACAGACATTGCAGTGAGCCGAGATCGTACCACTGCACTCCCGCCTGGTCAACAGAGCAAGACTCTGTCTCAAAAACAAAAACAAAAACACAATACTACTTGGGGGAGAGAATTTTTAATATTCTTCTTAAAGGTGAAGAAATTGAGATTCAAAGAGTTTAAGTGCCTTACATTAAGTCACAAAGAGAGAATCCAAAATGGGACCCAGGGCATATAAATCCCAGCTGTCCCCAGCCCATCAACATAATAATTCTACCCTGAACAGAAGACCTTCGCATCTCACTGGAAGATGCAAAACACTGGAAGTTTGACAGAAAGGAGTGTCACAAAGTGTAGAAAAAACTGGGGGAGAAATAATCTGAATTTCACATTTTGTCTCAGATCACATAGAGATTATTGTTTTTAACTCTTTAACTTGGTGTTTTGAACTGTTCAAAGCATCTCTCATCTTTATCTCATTTCATCAGCTCAGCAATCCTGTGATATAGGCAAAGCAGACCTGACAGGTGAGGAAACTGAAACCCAGAGAGATTAGGGGACTTGCACAAGAATAGACGGGCATTTGGTGGCAGATTCAAGGCTGGAAACTAGATCTTTGAGGGCAGTAGCCTTCAGAATAGGAATGAGATGGGAGAGAAGTATGTGTCGAATGAGGTAGGAGGGAAGCATTTTATTAAAAGATTAATCAAAATTCATTTGAAAGCCAAAGGGCCAAGAACAGTCCAAAGAAATTTGAAAAAGACTGACTATGAAGAAGATGAATTTACACTGTAGACATCAAAGCACAGGAAAAAAATTGTGCAAGAGAAGTATAGGGATAGAGAGACCAGTGGAATAAACTAGAAAGTCTAGAAAGAGACCCAGGCATTTTGGAAAACTGGTACATGATGGGGTGATTACAACTAAGTGGGGAAGGAATAGACTGTTTGATACATAGTGTCACAGAAATTGGCTCTTCATATTGGAAAATTAACATTAGAGCTCAATTTCATATGCAAAATAACACAAAATATTGCAAATAAATTCCAGATGGATTAAAAGTTAAAGTAAAAAATTATCTTTTAAACTATTCAAAGAATATTCAGGAAGATAGTTTAATAATATCTGATTAAGAAAAAATTTTAAGAACACAAAAGTAATGAAAAAGATCAATAAATTTGACTATGTTAAAATTTAAGACCAAGTTTATAGTCTTGTAGGAACAAAGTCACCATAAACAAAGCTAAAAGACAGGTGAGAGATTTGGAGGAGAAGTTTGCAATGCATGTGACCTAAAAAGGGTTAATCTCCAAAAATGTGTGTATATGGGATAGGGAGTCAGATGGGGACAACAATAAGTAAAAGACAAACAGCCCAACAGAAAAACAAAATATTAAAGCAGGCAGTTCACAGAAATGGAAATCAAAATGGCCTATAAAAATATGAAAAGATGGCCTACCTCACTGATAATCAGGGAAATGCCCATTAAAAAGCAAATAGATAGCATTTCACACCTATTCAACTGTCAAAAATTGAAAGGTTCAGCAATGCCAAGTTTTTATGGGAAATGGGCACTGCCATCCTAGAGGAAGTCCAAATTGTTTTTATCTCTTTAGAGGGCAATTTAGAAATACCTTGTAAAAGTAAGGATATACATACCCTATGACAACTAGTTTTATGTCTAAATATAATCCCTAGAAAAACTCTTACTCCGGTGTGTAATAGGACAGGTAAGAGGATGTTTATTATTGCATTATTTACAATATTGAAAATTGGAAAACAATTTAAATGTTCATCAATAGAGCAATGGGAAAACACTGTACAGGCACAGCAGTGAGTTCCCGTGAGCTAGATGCAGGCATCAAGAAGGATGATCTTGAAAAAATCCAAGGTCTGTGTAAAAAATCAAACCACATTAATATACCATTTACACACATATTTAAAACATATAAAACAATGTTATCAATCACGTATGGATTCAGACATATGCATAATAGAAGCATAAAAACACAGAATGCATGCAAGTTCAAGAGAATGCCTTTTTGGAAGAAGGAGTAGAATAGGCTCACAGAAAGGATAAAAAGGGTGCGATAGTACCTATAGTGTTTTATTTCTTTAATTACAAATAAAAGTAAAAATAAATCAGAGAAATATTAGCATAATAATATTCTGGGCAGTGGATATTGAGTGTTTAATATAGTAAACAATTCAGAAAAGGGAAAAGGAAAAAGCTCCTCACCAGCAGCCTCACCTTCCTCTGGTGGAAATGAGAAGGCAGTGGGGAGCAGGAGGCTACAGGAGAGCAGAGCTGACAGCTTTGAAAATTACTTGGCTGTGGATGTCTGCTCATGCACACACACACACCAAGATAGTTCTGCACATGATAGTAGTGGGGTCATTTGTGGAAAGAGCACTGCTGAGCAAGGTCACCAAGGACCACTGGGGTCCCAGCCAGCACCAGCTCTGCCAGGGCATTCCAGAGCTAGGAATGGGGTTTAGAACACCAAATGGTTAAATATGGTAGGAACATGTTTCTCTCAATTTAAAGGAAGTCCAGAAGTACGCAGTACGGGGCTAGGATGGTGGCTCTGCCACATCCCCAGGACTCAATCTCTTTCTACCTTTCTGTTCTGCCATTCCTAGTCACAGGGGTTCCATCTCCAAAGTGACCTTAAGATCTGAGGTGACCACTGCAACTCCAAGCCATCCTGGTAAGACACAAGAAGAAGTGAAGATGGGGAGGGCAAAATGGTCCCTATTGGCTGACTGTACCTCTCTAAAACTTCTTTCCTGGAGGCCCTTAACTTGCATGGACATTTTTGGATCATCCCTAATGCCAAGGGAGGCTAGGAAATTGTATTAGTTTGTTTTCACACTTCTATAAAGACATACTTGAGACTGCGTAGTTTATAAACAAAGGAGGTTTAATTGACTCACAGTTCTGCACGGCGGGTGAGACCTCAGGAAACTTACAATCATGGTGGAAGGGGAAGCAGGTATGCTGTACATGGCAGCAAGTGAGAGAGAGTGTGTGTAAGTGCAGGGAAAACTACCATTTATAAAACCATCAGATCTCATGAGAATTCACTATCACGAAAACAGCATGGAAGAAACTGCCCCCATAATCCAATCACTTCCCTCAGTCCACATGTAGTGATTACAGTTCAGGATTAGATTTGGGTGGGTCACAGAGCCAAGCCATATCAGAAATGTTTTCTTTAATTCAATCAGCAATGTGCCTAGCTAAAAAGTTGGGATTACTATTGCTAAGGAAAAAGGGGGAATGGCTAGCTGGTTCGCAGCTAATAATGGCTACCAGAGTTGGTGACTAATTCTGTGCCCACAGACAAGGGCTTTCTTCCTCTGAACATTGCTTTCCTGTCCATGCAAAAAAGAGGATAGATGAGGTGCTGCTTTCCTCAATAGAGCCAATCATCTTTTCTCACCTTGTTCATTGCTTCAAACTTTAGTCAAACTTCAACTTGAGACAATTATCTTGAAGCCCTTGTCTACTCGCTCTCTTTCCCTTACTGCAGGGATTTGGGTCTTTGAAACTTTTTCGCCCTGCATAGTTTTGGTTCTATATCTATGTTCCACACTCACCTCTCTTTGGGAATTACAACTTCTCTTCCAGGTTCACCAACTGCTAGAAACACCCAGATTTTAACTTTCCAACTCACTTCTTCCAAGAAGCTCCCCCTGGTATATGGCCACCTCCTCTGAGACCACTTCATCCCACTGTCCATTGTCAAGAGCATGTCTTTCACTCAGAGAATCAAAACTTTTGTTGAAGACAGACCTTACACCATCTGGCCTAATGATTTGCAACTTGTTTTTCAGAGCCCTTTCTGCAAGTAAAAACATATGTGAAACCCCAACATGATGGATAAAATGAATAAAATGTAGAATGGGATGGGGCAGAGGAGCCCCAAGTCACTTCAGAACATAGTTAGAAAAGATAATATCTTGCCCTCATTTTATGAATAAAGACATTGCTGCCCAAAGATAGAATTCAATTGTTCATGGTATATAGCTCATAATAGCAACACCTATAATAACAACAGCATTATCTAATACTAACCCACTGTGTGAAATACTGGTGTGAGTGTTTTATGTATATTAATTACTTTGTGATAATCCAAAGTTGCATAGGTAGTCAAGGAAAGAGCCAGGATTTGAACGAGGCACTCTGACTCGAGAGACTGTGCCAGAAATCACTATTCAATAAGCATTTTAGCCACATGGCTGGAATAATTCTAGTCCTCTAACTCCTAGGCCAAAATTACCTTCTATGATTTGCTTTATACTAGTTTTTTAGTTATGGATTCTGGACATGTTTCTTTAAGTGTTGTTCTGTGACTCATATTTATTTTTTCACTGCATACATTAGGCATTTAATGAACACTTTTGATAAAATATTTGAATTCAGTGGGTAAGGAACAACTGCTTTTCACTTGAAACTTTGGTGAGATTTGACTTGGCTCACAAAGGCCACTGCATAAAGGCTAAATAGAAACATCAAGCCACATCCTTAATCACCTAAATGGAAGACTACATTCCTGCCAAATCATGTCTGCAAAGAGGAAAGGCAAGCATCTTGGACAATGTTCTGTGCATAGTCATCTTTTAAGTCAAGTCCTGGCAGGGTAGAAAGTGGTTGTACCTTGTTAGCGTTCTGTACTTCTTTCTCCAGAGTGGCGGTATAGGAAGGGTGATCTGGAGACCAGGAAGGCAAGAATTGGGTGACCATTTGCAAAGCCCAATTTTTCCATGTCCACCTTTCTATCTGGACAGTTGAATTCTACAGGAGAAATCACAAATTCCCCAAATTAGTGCCTACTGTACATTCATGGTCCCTTCCTCAACTCAGGCTATCCTTCATCATGTCCATAGTCACTCATCATCAACCCTGACAAGAAACAAGAAGTGCCGCTTCTTCTCTGTTATCAGCAACACCATCCACCCTTGTGATCAAGCCAAAACTTGGTAGTCATCTTTTATTTTTTTCTCACTCTGTCACCCAGGCTGGAGTACAGTGTTGCAATCTCGGCTCACTGCAACCTCCACCTCCTGGGTTCAAGTGATTCTCCTGCCTCAGCCTCCCAAGTAGCTGGGATCACAGGCACATGCCACCATGCCCAGAAAAAAAATTTTTTTTTTTTAAATAGCGACAGGGTCTCACCATGTTGGCCAGGCTTGTCTCAAACTCCTGACCTCAGGTTGATCTGCCTGCCTCAGTCTCCCAAAGCGCTGGGATTACAGGTGTGAGCCACTGTGCCCGGCCTGGTAGTCATCTTTGACTCCTCTTTCTCCCTCCACACCATCATTGAGACAGTCACTATGCCCTGCTATTCCTATCTCCTTCACCTCTCTTCAGTCTGTCCACTCCCCTCTGTTAGTCTACACTTTGTTTCGAGACAGCACCTTCCAGCCCGTTCTTGGTCTAAGGAAGCCAGAGCTTTTTAAAACAGAATCGGGTCATCACACACACACACATACACACACACACACACACACACACATCCTTTCTTAATGGATCTCCATAATATAAGCTTTGGGATAGAGTCAAAACTCATAAAATAGAAAGCCAGGTTGTTCAGTGTCTGGCCACTGCTTTCCTCCCAGCTTCATATTTCCTCACTTGGATCCTAGATTCCCCTAAATTGTGGATCTCTGCATACGCTGCATCCTGTCTGACTCTCTCTCTCGTCCCTACCTCTCGGTCAATACTTGGCAAATGCATGAGTGAATTTGGATGCAGGAGGAGAAGAAAGAAAAGACAGACAGAGGAAGGAGGGATAAAAGTAACAATAATAACAACCACAAAAAACTTGGACATGTGGATGGAGGAAGAAAGTTTGTCCAAAGTAGAAAAATAGGAAATAAAAACAAAACAAAATCAAACAAGAAACAAACAAAATACAATGGCCGGGGCCTCAAAGCATTGTTTATAAGATCCTGGTGGCATATTTCTATTTTAAATTAAACTCTAGGGCATAAACTTCACTTGACTGGTCCCTAGTCAGCACTGTAGACCTCAAAATGCCACCCAGCCACCCGGTGATCCTACAAAGCAAGGTGAGGGGTTGAAGCCTTGAGGACAGATCAGAGGAGTGGTGATTAAATCCAAGACTGAGTCTTGCTTCAACCTTGGGATTATATCAATGTACATTTCTATGAGACAGTGTCCTCTTGCCTTCTTACTGAAGCAAGTCATTGCCTATGTTAGCCCCCTTCTTCCCTGGACCTCTCTATGACACCCTGGGAAAGGTATACTTATTGATAACTTGGCTCCATTTCTCGAGGGATTTAGGTCACTTAATATGTAATGGCCCTTAAGAGAAGCCAGTTAAATTTGGGGCTGAACTGGTAAAATATTAGTATCTGCAACGTAGCAGCCCAGAGCACAGAGAAAAGAGTGGAAAGAACACGGAACGCCTATGTCATGAGACCAAGTGCTGCTATCCCAGCACCTTGGCAAGCGCCAACTCCCAGGTCTGACCTGCTTGCTGAAAGTTTGAAGACCACCCAAAGGCACTTTAGCAATTCATGTGAGCAAAGGCCTCATGAAGCTCCGTGTGGCAACACCAGTTTCCTGGGGCCAATGCTTCATGCCTATTAATGTGATAATCTGTTTTCAAACCAGACAGTTGAAGTGAGAAAGAAGAATGAGCAGAGATGATTCCCATTACCAAGGGCAACTTGATCCCTAATAGTAGCGGCAAATGTGAACAAACTCAATTCTTAACATACTTAATTTCATTCAGTGCTCACAACCCTCCTATGAAAGAAGTATCATCTTTATTATACAAAAGAGTGTGAAATTCAGAGAAGTAACATTTCCAAGTGTGATGGTTAATATTAGGTTTCAACTTGATTGGACTGAAAGATGCCTGGATAGCTGGTAAAATATTGTTCCTTGGTGTGTCTGTGAGGATGTTGCCAGAGGAGATTGACATTTGAGTCAGTGGACCGGGAGAGGAAGACCCACTGTCAGTGTGGGTGGGCACCATCCAATTGGCTGCCAGGGTAGCTAGAACAAAGCAGGCAGAAGAAGGTGGGATAACCTTGGCTGGGTGCAGTGGCTCACGCCTGTAATCCCAACACTTTAGGAAGCTGAGGCAGGCACTTGAGGTCAGGAGTTCGAGGCCAGCCTGGCAAACATGGTGAAACCCCATCTCTAGCAAAAATACAAAACCCCATCTCTAGCAAAAATTAGCCAGGCATGGTGGCAGGTGCCTGTAAACCCAGCTACTGCAGAGGCTGAGGCAGGAGAACTGCTTGAACCCAGGAGGTAGAGGTTGCAGTGAGCCAAGATTGCACCACTGCACTACAGCCTAGGCAACAAGAGCAAGACTCCGTCTCAAAAAAAAATGGAAGGTGAGATAACTGCTTGCTGGGCCTTCTGGCTGCCTTCTTTCTCCCATGCTGGAGACTTCTTCCTGCTCCTTCCACCCTTGGACATTAGACTCCAGGTTCTTTGGCTTATGGACTCTGGAACTTGCACTAGTGGCTTGCCAGAGGCTCTCAGGCCTTTGGCCACAGACTGAAGTCTGCACTGTCAGTTTCCCTGGATTGAGGCTTTCTGACTCAGACTGAGCCACTACCAGCTTCTCTCTTCCCCAGCTTGCAGACAGCCTATTGTGGGACTTTGCCTTGTAATAGTGTGAAGCCCATTCTCTCTAATAAACTCCCATATATATGGGAGTGTGTATATGTGTATATATACACACACACATACTAGCTGATGACAGAGGCAGAAAGTGATTGCTGGATTTCTTGGTTCCCAATTTGGCTCTTTCCTCACTATACCCTACTGCTTCCTGGACTCTTGCAAGCATGAACCTGATAGCCACAGTCATTCAACAGTTAATTCAACAACCGTGTATTGATCCCCTTCCAGGCATCAGGCACTGTGTTAGGCCAGTGAGGATACAACAGGTTCAAAACAGAAAACGTTTCTTATCCTGTGTGGGGGTCATATTCAACTGAAGAGATAGACATACAATCTTTCAGGCAGAGGGCAATACACCCTATGTCCTATGCAAAATAATAAAACAAAGCAAGGGAAACAGAGAGCAGTGGGGCAAGAGAATAGGTTTTGTTTTTCAAGGGTGGCCAGACAAGGCCTCTCTGTTGACACCTGGCTTTGAGCTTTCCAACGAAATCCATTTCCAGCTTTGATGTATGCCCTGCTGGTACCCACAGTGCAGCAGCGGGCTGACAATGAGCACATTAGAGACAAAGAACAACCAGTAGGCATGGTGTTCCCATTGAGAAGGGAGGATTCAAAAGTAAGCCCCAAATATGCCACATCCTGCCATGGGGCAGTTTCACAAGTAGAATGGGGTGGTCACTAACTAGCTTGGCAAGCAGAGAGGATTTTTTGGTGACGGATCTGTCCCCAGCGAAAATGGCCCAATGACTCAGGAGCTTAAGGAAGCTGTCCGTGCAATCTGATTCTGCCTATGAATGCCTTCTGAATACCTTCTATCAGAAATATAATAGCTGGAGAACTGCAGGAGGAGAGCAAGGGGAAAGCCTTTAGACAAGCTTCAAGATCTCATTGAAAATGTTTCCTTCATAGACTTAGGAGGTTATGTTTCTGGGAAAGCCACTAAAAGTAAAATAAGAGGAAGATTCTGTTCATGCCTTAGAAACAACATGGAAGTCCATTCCTGTCCAAGGACCAGAAAAAAAAACTTTAAAAATAGAAAGTGACAAATATAATCTATTTCATAACTATAATGCAATATATCTGTACATTGTGTAGTGCAAGTTTTTAAAAAAGATTTAGCAATCAAATAAATCAACAACAAAGAAAACAATTTCCCAGCTACATACTTCCCGGGAACACATTTCTGTATTTTACTACTGAAATCACCCTCAGAAGAGTTCTGTGAGGCTGAGAGCTCAAGGAGAAGCACCTGACAGGGTCAGTGCCTGAAGCTGGGAAATAAGGATGCAAAACAGACAGGGAAGGGCAGCGAGAAGCTGCCAGACGCCCAGAGCCAAGAAGTTTTGTGCCCAGGGTGACAGGAAGCAGCCTGGTTGAATGGTGTCACTTGCCGTTTGCTGCAACACCATAAGTTCTACGGTAGATGAAATTGGCAGGAATCATGCAAGAAGCTCACACTCCCTCTGTATCTTCACCTCTCCCTCCCATCTCCACTCCTGTTCCTGGAGACTGTCAGATCTGCTCTGAAGTTAACCTCCATCTCAGCTCAGGATTCATCTCCTCCTGTCTCCTAATTAGGCTCCTTCTCCCTCAGCTGGTCTCTCCCTTTCAATTAGTCTTCCTCCCATTTTAAGGGAAAGAAAAAAAGAGAGAGAGAACTTTCCTTGGTCCTGCTTTCCCCTCCAAGCTGGCATTCCATCTCTCCACTTTGCTTAATTGCCAGGTTGTAAAGAAAGGTTTCTGCACTCACTGTCTCTCCTTCCTACTCTCCACCTTCTTTAACACCCACAGTCAGCTTTCTGTTCCCACAGCTCCACAGAAACTTCTCTAACTGCTGAATGTGTCAACTTGTTTAAGCCTTTAGCCTCTGCAGTTTTGTCACTGTAACCATTACTTGGACCCAGCCCCTTAAAACTTTCACCTCATTTGGCCTGCATGACTCTGTCCCCTTGGTCTTCTCTAAAGCCTTCTCATTTTCTTCCCAGTCCCAAACACCACCACCACCACCTTCATTTTTCACTGGTGGAGAAGAGACGAGAATCACCAGACTCACTGGTTGTTTTGGGGTCACACACTCCTTTGAGACTCTGATGGCAATGTTAGAGTCTCCCCAAAATGTCATTTTATTGATACATATTCACATACACACATATGTATATACATGTGTAAACATTATCTCAAAAGGTCCCTAAATTAAGAAGAGCCTCTGTCACAGAAAATAGCTGTTTTTACAAAATGTAACTATGATGTCATGTGGCTGATCCACACTACACTTAAACCATACATTTCTGGTGAGTGCTCGACATTCAGAGGTGCTATAATAGAATAAAACATTTTATCAGGAGGCTGATCCCAGGATTCTCATCCAGTTTTCACACCTTAAAGGCTGTATGATCTTGGGCAATTCACCTCTCTAAACCAAAGTTATCTCCTCTATAAAAATGGGTATTATAATTTCTTCTTTGCCTTGCGGGATTGTTGTAAAGATTAAATAAGATCAGGAATTTGAAATACTTTGCAAACTTCTAAGTATTACAGAAATGATCACTGTCAAAATCATTGATCAATATCCTTGGAGCTGCAGTGTGTTGGGGAAGAGGGGCCAGGAGGGTGTCAACATTGGGTTTTAATCCCATCTTGGGCACCACATTGTGATTTGACCTGGGTCCATGTCCCAGTTTGTAGACTGGAGATGATCATAGGTATCTTAGCTACCTCATAGAGCTAGTCTGAGTATCAAATGAAATAATGAATGTGGAGGGACTTTGCAACTCAGCAAGACCAGGGCGCCTGCCATTTCTCATCCTCTTCTTTGTCTCTCTCCACGTGCATTAATTGAACTCTGTGAGCCAAACAGAGTGAGCCTGCTCTGACAAGAGTCTCACTATGCCTGACGATAGAGCATTCCTACAAAATAACTCTAGAGTCAAATTAGACTCCAGTGAGTTAATCATGGATAATATAATTATAAGAAGCCGCAAATAAATTGGTAATAATTGGCTACTTATTGTTTTTTAAAAGGGGGCATGGAGAGAAAGAATACAGTGTACAAGAAAGATTATCCTTTGTAGAAATAATCACTCCTCCTGATCACTTGGCCTATATTGGAACCCACCCCAAGGAGTGCTGCTTTCTCTCTGGCATGCTGGGTTGCTATAAAATACTTTCTTGAAATCCTTGACTTGAAATCCTGCCCTTAGGCCGGGCGCGGTGGCTCACGCCTGTAATCCCAGCACTTTGGGAGGCCGAGGCGGGCGGATCACGAGGTCAGGAGATCGAGACCATCCTGGCTAACACGGTGAAACCCCGTCTCTACTAAAAATACAAAAAATTAGCGGGGCGTGGTAGCGGGCGCCTGTAGTCCCAGCTACTCGGGAGGCTGAGGCAGGAGAATGGCGTGAACCCGGGAGGCGGAGCTTGCAGTGAGCCGAGATCGCGCCACTGCACTCCAGCCTGGGCGACAGAGCGAGACTCCGTCTCAAAAAAAAAAAAAAAAAAAAGAAATCCTGCCCTTATCCTGACGCATGAGTGTGTTAGTAATCTCTAGCAGGTTTCCAGTTCCTCAAGAAAGAGCATGGTGGTCAGAACTGTTGCACATTCCTTGTTCCCAGCCCCTTCTTTACTTCACTGCACCCAGCCAAGACTCAGAATATAAAGGTCAGGGGCAAATGCAAACAGACCAGCAAAGTTAAAGTGGATCCGTCTCTACCTTTTCACCAGGTTCTATCTGGTTTCGGGAAGAGGTGGGATTTTCACAGCACTATGAGAAGGAAGGGATCAGCTATTGTCTTGTGAGAACAAGCCTGGTCACTGTCAGATAAGATAACATAGCAAGAAGTATTTCTCAAAAGGACCTCCTTTGCAGGGGTGAGGAAAGACAAGGGTCTGGGGCTCCACATACAAGGGCAGGAAGAGAGGAAACGGGAGAGAAGCTAACATTACTGAGCTAAGGACATTACCTATATTATTTCATTCAGTTCACTCAACAGTGACCTCTAGTATGTGTGTATTGTCCCGTTTTACCAGCAAAGAACCTGAGGATCAAAAAGGCTATAACTTGCCCAAGATCACACAGAGAATAATGAACAGAGAAGCCTCCAAATGCCAGACTATTTTGACTCTGGCAAACTGGCTCGCCAAAGGTGAGGATAGCCAGGAAAAGAGAGTGACTCTCTGCTTATGTCCTGTCCATCAACACTCCCCTTATAAGGGACCTGTGATTATGATGAGGGCCACAAACTATGAGTAAGTCAGGACCAACCTGAGACTTGAATCGTCCACTTACCAGCTTTGTGGACTGAGTCCTTAAAACATATTAATAAAGTGAACATAATATTATCTCTCTGGAAAATGTGTAAGTTGCTATGTAGTTCCAGCACAATGCTTTTTGTATAAATGCTTCGTCTCCCACCTGCATTAGGCTGCATTGCCATGTAGAGAAGTGTCATTGTCTCTGTTGAACAGGGTGCAGGTGAAGGACATGTCCCTGGCAAAGATGCAGAAGAGCAAGGGCCATAGAGTTGCCGGGACACTGGGCAAGGATAAAGTTAGCTTTAGAGTACCCAGAACACAGTCAAGGTCCGATAATGAATTACCCAGTCAGAGCAGGACTGGAAGTGACAAGGGATTCCTGAAAGGTTTCTCAACACTTTCCCCGGATCAGAGTGGTCCCAGAGTCTTGGGCAGAGCTACATCTTCCCATGGTGGGGCAAGTGACTTCCGCTCTGGGGAAAAAATCACTCATGAAGGAGGAAGCCCACAAGTCTTGGCTAGAGCAAGAACATCATGGGACATGAGCTCCAACCCTGATTTCTTCCTCTTATCCTTGGATGTGATATCCTGGTTTTATGGCTCTTGAGAAAAGTATAAGCTCCTAGAGGTAATGGATTCTATAGTAAATGTTATTGGATTTTTCACAGGGCTTAGAGGAGCATAGAACTCAAATAAGTGGTCCCTAAAGGCAGGATTCCGTGGCATCTGTCTGTGAGTTCCCATAGTTAACTTTTCCCATAGTGACTTTAGTGTGGGGCAGAAGATGCTGGAAGACTTGTGAAACAGGCAGATTCCCAAATTCCACCCTGAGAGATACAGATATGGGAAGATTAGGGGTGGGGTTGTTAAACTCACTAGTTGTTTCCAATGCAGTTGATTCTTGGGGGGAAATCTTTGAGAAACTCTCGATAGTCTATTGTTTCACATATCATCTTGAACTAAAGTTAATTGTTTAGAGATTAAGCTGCCTCCATGAGAACATAAGCTCCTCCAGGGCAGGGTCTGTGCCATCTCATCCCGGTAACCCAGAGCCTAGCAGATCACCTGGCATGCTGTAGGTGTTTGGTTGGACTCAACAGACCTGGAAGACCATAAAATGCATCTTATTCCCATAGGAACAGTTCCATGTCTAGGATTTGTGTTGTGGACAAGGGTCACTATATCCTCATATATCATAAACATGGGCAACAATATTGCACCATGAGATGCTAGAGTGATCAAGCTGAAAAGTACCCTAATTCATTCTTTAACATTCATAAAGCAAAGGAACAGCTCCGGACCTCTGCAATCACTGGGAATAGTAAGATTATGCTCCAAGAAACATTCTGTGACAGCGCATCTAGTCAATGTAATAAAGTTTACCTTACAGTCACTTTGTAGATAGGAGAACTGAAACATAAATAAGTTAACTGACACATTCAATGTTGCATCATGAATCAGCACCAGACCCAGAATTCAGACCCAGGATCCTGGATTTTCTAGGTGGTGCTTCTTCCAAACCACAAGATTCTGATAAGGACCTATGTGTCCTATGTGTCCTATTTCTGGTTTTTTTTTTTTAAGGAATGATCAATAAAATATTTTCTTTTGTAATGCTTCTACTGCTTGCAACAGGGAAATTTATCACAAGAAGAAGGCATCATTTTAAAGTTCCATGGGCAGCTCTTTCCAGAGATGTGGTCCATGGAAAGTCTTGCCCAGAGACCCTTGGAATTCTAAGAAGGAAATAAAGTGAGAGTTAATTAAATGTGTAATTAATGTTGATTGTGGCAAGCATGCTTCTTTTAGGTCAGATTGATGCTGCAGGGGAGTGATAGTATTTTTGATTGTTGTGTTTGTTTTTAGGATATTAGGGCCCTTGTCTAAGCCCTGGGATTTTTACTTAGAGTCAGGCTTTGAGATTAGGGAACAGGCTATGGTGGGCTTCAGGGAACAAGCTCTACAAGGGGTCTCTCCACGTTATGTACATTAACCAAAATGGGGTCATCCCATGCTCTGTGCTTACTGAGCAAGTTTCCCTTCAGCACTGCCACATCCCTCCCTAGCCAATGCTTAACAAATCACACCAACGTGACTAACTCAGTGTCTGGTTCTTATTTTTCCTCCTTCCCTTTTCTGTTTGCCATTGTAACCCTCCTGTCTTAATGCTTTTCTGCCTCTTCAGGAATTTTGACTACTCCATCAAGCTTTAGTCTCTGCAAAACACATTCCTATTAGTCAGTTCTCAGACACAATCTCCACTTTTTCACCTTATGCAAAGCTCCACGTACTCTTTCTTGGCAACTCTAGTTAAAATGCTAAATTACAGAGGTGGGCAGACCCTATTGATAGTAGAGAGACTGGTGCCCCTCTCTTCTTGCCTACCTTTGCTAATGGCTTAAAAATAAATCTCTCCAATACCTCACCTGCTGATCTGCTGTGGCTTAATCAGCCTGGTAGATTCAGAGTAATTATCCCCATCAAAGACCGTGTTCTCATGATGCTTCCCACACCACTGGAAGTAGGTAAAACAGAGAGGAGTTTATCTATTTTGCAGATTCTGAACCTCAGGATCAAAGATTCAGCTGACTTACCCAAAGTTAGTAACAGAGCCCCTTCCAGAACCATCGCTTCCTGTCTCCTGGTCTAATGGTCATAAGTCCTTATTTCTCTCTGATCTTGCTCTTGCTATGGCTAAAGTGCACTCACAAGGGTGACTGATGGGTCCTCAGTAAGATGGAAGGGAAGGAGGAGGGAATCTTTGTTTTCATCTCCTGGAATGTTCCAATAGTTCCAGCTGTGGCTACAGTTCATGACTGCAGGGATTTTTTGCTTGTTTATTTTCTTTTGAAAGATTCTATCTAGATTCCGGCAAACTTTCCAGCAAACAGTACTTTGAGGCAGCTGGAAAAGGGAGGGCTCTTCCTTCCCTGTCATATGTCCTTAAAATAACAACAGGGGAGGAAAGCCCACAGTGTCCCCTTAAGGTACCAAGGATAGCATAATGAATTTGCTAATCATAAACGGTTTGCTCCTGAGTTCCAAACAATATGGTAATGAATTGCCAGTGAACCATTTGCCAGACCACAGCCATATGGTAAGGGATGGGACCCTGGTACATAGTAGCCATACTGTGGGTTTGTCTGCATAACTGTTCCCATCCAGAACCTTCCCATCTCTATGGCTGCTAGTTAATATCCTGTTTAAGCTTCTGTTGTCAAAACTAATCATTTGTTTGCCTTATGTGGATAAGTCTTTCTCTTATCTGGTCAGTAATAGTGACCATTAAGAAATGAAAATGTGTTTGAATCCACATAAAAATATTTGAGTTACACATCTTGCATTACCCAGTGGATACCTGGGCCTGGCAGCACTAGCCTGTGGAAGCAACTCAATCCAGGAACTTATTAAAACCAACAAATTATCATCTTCCCCTGCAGAAACACAAATGAGGATTCAGTTCATTAATTTCCCCATTGTTCTTCCTTTCTGTGGACATTAGTTGGATCTTTAGCTATAAAATGTGGATTTTATTATAATAGCGATGATAATAAAAATAATTAGGAGAAGAAGGAGATTCATTTATCAGAATAAGGCACCCTTTCAAATACACACTCCCTCTTGATTTGATGAGATGGTGAGATTTGGGAAAGAATCTGCTGTTTCATTGCTGCCTTTGTTGGTTTCCTTAGCAGTTACCCAATGGGGCTAGAAAGAAAGAGAGTTAGGAAAAGAAAAATAAAAGTAAAGTGACTCTAGGATCAAAGGGAAATGAGGACCTATGATGAGTAAACAGCAAAGCAAATCGGAAAGAAACAATTTTATGAGGGATTAGAAGTACAGCAGGCTAGGGAGAGGCTGTTTGGATAGTCCAGTGTGCATCCAGTGTCTTACATGCCTCACCACCACCACCACCAAGGGCAGACAGGGAGATGGGGCAGGGATTGTCCCTCTGTCATCCTACCCCCTGCCACATCCTTGTGACAGCCTTTGACAGTCTTTTTCCACCAAGACTGCCTGCTATCCATGTAAATTCATTTTCCTTTCATAACGACGTTGAAGAATATGGGAAAATGGAACCAAAAAAGAGGGAAGACGGAGTGGGTGAGGAGCCCACAGGGTAATATTCCCTGAGAATGCTCCTGGGTTTCTTGCTTCCTATGGGACCCAGCAGGAACAATCACTCTTTCACAACTTTCTGAGTTTTCCCTGCATCCCCACATACCTCACCCCAGAAACAGCCAATGTGCTAATTGCAAGGTCAGGCCAGTGTCTTACGTGGCATCTGGGACATGGTATAATGCAAACAGATTTCCATATGTGGTCCCTTCCAGTAGTCCTCGGCCCCCCGAGCACCCACACCACGTGAGAACTCAGCTTCTCAGGAGACGCTGACATTTTAATTGGAAGCATCTGTTGCCTTTTCTGTTATTTTTGGCCAGGTTTGGTTTATTTGTATGAGCCGATGTTTGTGTATAGACCCGCCTACACGTTTCACAAAGCCTAGCCTTGCCTCCTCTCTCATCTTCTTCTCAAGTAGCTGACTGGGATGTGTGACGGGGCCACTTGCCTTCACCCTGTCCATTCTGATGTGGATTTCTCTCCGCAGAACTAGGGTGGGGAGGGAGGGCCAAGCTGAAAACTTCAGAGAAGCACCTTCTTGAAAAAGATGTTCTGAGGGAGGGAGGCTCACCGCTTCCTGCTTACTGCAAAGTGTCTGCTAGCCTCCCAGCAGGAGATTCTGCTTCCAGCTTCAAGGCTGCAGCCAGCTTTGAGGCTGCAGGGGGACCTTGAAGGTGTCAGGTCCAGTCCTGTACCCCTCCCAGCTCTGACTCACACACTAACTGAGGCCCCATCCTCAAGTCTCTCAGGAGTCCTGCTCCCAGTAGCCTTTGAGACCTGCCCTTCACTTTATCCTCACTTAGAAAACCCAACCTTCTTCTCCCCATCAAACCCAACCACCTCCACAGAGCCTTCTTCTAGTTGTCCAGTTAGCCTGATCACACACCAGCAGAGCCACTATCTGTCAGTAATCCAGTGGCAACTGGGTGTTTGCTGAATTCCGAGCTGTAGTGGGTTGAATCGTGCCCCATCAAAAAAATAGTTCTACACAGAACCTTGGAATGTGAATTTATTTGGAATAAGAGTTTTTTGCAGACAAGTTAAGGCTCTCCAAATGATATAATCCTAGATAGGGCGGACCCAAAAATCCAATAATGGAAGAGACAGAAAAAGACATGAGAGAGAGAAACAAAGGGCATGTGAAGACAGGCAGAAATTGGAGTGATGCCACCACAAGCCAAGGAATGCCAGGAGCCACCAGAAGTCAGAAGTGGCCAGAAAATTTTTTCTCTAGTGCCTCCACAGGGAGCATGGCCCTGCCAACACCTTAGTTGTGGATTTCTAGCTTCAGAACTGTGAAAGAATGAATTTCTGTTATGCTGAAGTACCGAGTTTATTGGTAATTTGTCACAGCAGTCCTAAGAAACTGATATTCAAGCCCTGGGCTAGGGTACCATGGTGTACAAAATCCTAGGAATGAAGGGGAACTGGAATCTGCCCAGACGTAAAGTGAGAGGACCTGACTTTCCTCCCCTGAGGGGAACCTGACTTACCCCCTCCTCAAGGGGATATCACCACTCACCAGCTATATACCCTGGAGGAGGTCACTTGAGCTCCCTGTCTTCACTGTCCTTTCCTGTACATTGAAGGAGATGGACAGGACAAGGTCTACGAATCCCTACAGCTCCAGTGTTGTCTTTTTTGTGTAAGAAAGGGAGATTATAACTACACAAGGTGATGACATCATAATCCCGGGTCCCCACTGTGAGAGGCACACTGAAATGAGCACTACAGACCCTAGGAGGGGAGGGTTCAAGTAGAGTCAGGGAAGGTCCTAGGGGAGGTGGTCTCTGAACTCAAGGGCAGGTTGCCAAAGAGGAGGAGTTGGGAGAGCATTGATGACCGGCAGAGAAGTCAATGCGCAGAGGTCAGATGAGAGAGTGACAAGGAGGAAACAAGGCAGGCTGGAGCAGAGAGGACCACAGGAGCACCATGTCATGCTTCACCCAGAAATCAGTCTTTGGTAAGCTCTGCCCCATAACCAGGGTCTAGCATTGAGGGAAGTGCTTTCCTCCATGGGAGAGACCAGGCTGACCCTCAGGTCACACACATCCACATTAAATAAATATGGATTGAACACTCACTGTCACCCTGCAGTCCTGGGCACTAAAGAATCTGTGGGGACACAGACTCTGTCCTCAGTGGGCATACAATCTGATGGTGGAGGCAGCCTATTGAGCATGTAACTGTGTTCAGGGAGGTAGGTATCTTAGGCAGAAAAATGCAGAGGAGCTTCTGCTGCCGTTTGGGGAGCGGACATCTTCCTGGAAGAAGGGACTTTTAAGCTACTTGAGAAATGAATAAAATTGGCCAGTTGACAAGAATGGTGAGAGTGTCCCTGTAACTCTCCCTCATGTGAGTCCCATCAGACTCTCTTTGCTTACTGCAAAGTAAAATAAGGAAGCAGAAACATACAACAGGAATAAATAGGAACTGTGAGAAAAGGTAAGAAGAACCAACTAGAAAAACATGGCAATCTGGGGCCATCTGGCAATGGGGCAAATATCCCTGAACAAACAAGAGCCTGCCAGGTACCACTCCAATCCTATAATGCAAGCTTAAAATAGATTCCATGTACTCTGCTTATCTCAAAGGTAAGAAAGACTGGAATACTTAGAAACATCATCATCCAACATGCTCAACAGAGGCATCTCAGAACTCTGAAAAATTGTTCTGCGTAGATCTCATGTTCTAGCTGGGGCTGACCTCCTGAGTCTTCCTGTGTTGACTTGTTTACAGGCTAGTCTTCACTTGGGTTCTTGCTGTGACTCTTCTCTTCCTCTATTAGTATTTGGAAGAGGGCAGGGCCTTTGATACGGTTTGATTGTATCCCCATCCAAATCTCATCTTGAATTCCCATGTGTTGTGGGACGGAACCCAGTGGGAGATCATTGAATCATGAGAGCAGGTCTTTCCCATGCTGTTCTTGTGATAGTGAATAAGTCTCATGAGATCTGATGATTTTAAAAAGGGGAGTTTCCCTACACAAGCTCTCTTCTCTTGTCTACCGCCATGTGAGATGTGCCTTTCACCTTCTGCCATGATCGTGAGGCTTCCTTAGCCATGTGGAACTGTAACTCCATTAAACCTCTTTGTTATGTAAATTGCCCAGTCTCAGGTATGTCTTTATCATCAGTGTGAAAACAGACTAATACAGCCTTCATCTTTTCTTTGCTTGCCAGCCTACTAATGGGTGCTCAACTTTCTACAAGATGTTTCTGTAGAATGGCCAGTGTCCTTTAGATGGGTCACCCAATCTTCTGGAATCCTCCATTCTGATGGGCCACTGGAAGCTGTCTGACACAGGCCCAGTCCCTCAACTGGACTTTATCAAAGGGCTACTAGGTTCAAGGCATCATGCACACACAAAAATGCCTACTCCAGGGAATTAACAAACTGGTCTTGCAAATGAGACAAAAATATGTAAACATGTAAACAGAATTACAAATTATCAAGATATTGGGGGGTGACAGATGACCTTTGAGTTGATTTCATGGATAACAATGCCAGCATCCCCCAAACCTTCAGATCCATCTGAGGCAAAATGCTAGGATAGAGGACCCATGGCCCCAAACTCAGGGACTTCAGATGGTCATGACTCTATCCTGGAGCCTCCTGTATAGCCAGTGGTATTGCAAGCCTTTGGAAGAGTCCAAGAAGTAGAAGGAAAATGAAGACTCTATGTGTCCCTTCATGGGATACCTTGCCCAGTCTTACCCAACTCATCTGTGGATTCAACTGTTTCCATCACATCCCTCTTTGTAGATAGGCACACAAGAGGAGATGGACCAAATCTCCCTGTCTCTGCCTAAATTTACCTCAGTCATCTCCTCCCTATATATATATATCTCTCTCTCTGTCTTTCTGGCCATCAATATCTGCTTGTCTCTCTTTCAAATTCTCCATAAGTTTTCTTCCTGTGGTTTTCTCTCTCGCTACCTCTGTCTTTCTTTCTCAGTCTCTATCTGTTTCTGTTACATACACATAAATGTTTTTCAGGGAAACCTACTTCTCTTTTCTCAGTAAGCCTCAGTTCTAGTTTATTAGCATGAAAGCAATCAAGGTTTAAAAGAAAAAAAAGACATTTACAGAAAAGCCCAGATATGGTTGTGACAGCATTTCAGGTCATGGAGGGGACAGGGAAAGAAAAATAAACTGGGCAGAATGGAAAAGTTGAGACTGGGAAGCCAGGTCACATGGTGTCGGCAATCTGCCACTCAAGTGACCACCACTCTGCACCCTGTGGGCCCCCATCCCTGCCTCCCTTGGATGGTTCTTGAGGGAGGTTCCAGGGGCCAAAGCCCTTGAGAAGTTCCATTGCGATGAACTTTGTTTGTAGAGATGTCTGACCCAGGGCCCCACACTGTGACTTCTCTATGGAATGCAGAGTTCTGTAGGTCACGGACTGGACCTCTGCTGCATAGAGAAAGGAACATTGCTGGTTCCATGTTAGAACCTGAGAGACCTTGGAGAGGATCCCATCCATCCTCTGCCTAACAGAAGGGGAACCTGAAATCTGAGTGGAGGGGTTGCCCATAATCCTACCCCCTGTTAGGGGCAGAGCCAAGCCCCAAACATTTCTCCCTCACCTCCTCACTGTCCTTCCAAGGTTCCAGGCTCAGTTTCTTCTTTGATGGACAACTTCAAGTGAGACACTTAACCTCTTTGAGCCTCCGAGTTCTTATCTGTAAAATTAGGGGCATGGAAGTGAGCATTTTGGATGGCTTCTTACAGGTGCTAAATGTTTTTTATAATTATTCTCACACTTAAATGTGACAATAGATTTGTGTTTTACAGTGGTCATTACAATTCCCATGTGATAGGGGAGAAAAAAATGAGCCTGTCTGAGATAAAGTAAACTCCTTAAGATCATGCAACTTATAGTGATTTATCTGTGCCCCCAAGCCATACTAAGCGTAGGTTTGATGGAAAATGAGAAGGCATATAGAACAAAAGACCAGGCTCTCCTATACTCCCAGGCCCCTCTATGCGGCTCCTACTGTGGAGGCAGGGAGTACCCCCAGTCCAACCCTGCCACCAGTGGAGTGGTGTCCACAGGAGGACAGCCTGGCCCAATCTTTCATGGAATGTCACAATATTGCCTTCCCCTTTGCCTGCTGATCAGGGTCCTGCCTCCCGAAAGTGATCTAAGCCAATGCCCCACCCAGAGGCAGAATCAAAAGGCATTCAGCCATGCTCCCCATACTTGGGTTTCTACCCACCGAGAGAGGCATAGAGATGCCCAAAGCCCCTCTCAGAACAGCCAGCTGATCCCGTCATTGAGAGAACTTGTTTGGAGAGGTGACAGTTCCCTAGCTTGTTCTTGTCCTGCTTACACAGCAGAGCAGCATTTCCAGCTGGCATTTGCAAAGGCCACTCACCTCACTTTGCATTCAGGACTCTTCCCCACCAGCCAATGCTCAGAGCGGCTGCACTGTTAAATGTGTCTGTACACAGCACTCACACACATGCACACCAAATGCTGTTATTTTTAATAAGACTTCTTTTTCCCCCTCCTCTCCTGAAAATCCAAGAGAGTCCTCTGCAGGGCAGAGGCCAAGAGGTCAGCCATCCACATCATATGATTTGCAGACAGCAGAAAGGTCCCCATTCCTAGCTCCTGTGTTAACTCCCCTTTTATTGTTGTTTTTTTTTTCTTTTTTCCCAGCCTTCTGCAAGGGGCATTATCTGGCCCAGACATCTTTGCACTTGACACATCCTTGGCACTTGTTTCTATTTAAAGTAGCACTTTATTATGTATAGCCTTACATTATTATTTCACTATTTACTCTGTGAGAAAATTTCCTCCCCAACTAGGTTATAGCTCCTATGGGGAGAATATTGATACACCTCTATATTTTGGGGCAGTGGATCTCTGAAATTCTAGAATTTATATAGTAGCTTAAACATTAATTTTTCAGACTCTCTGACATCACTCAGGAGTGGATCCTTTTGGGATCCACTAGAAGACCCTTGTCCCCTAAGTCGACTCTTACTCCTCCCTTAAGGTCTCCTTGCAATCTGTTCTTTATTATATCCCTTCCCTGGGCTCACTCCCACCACCCTTAGTACACACCTTACAGATTACCTTATCACAGTGGTTGATATTTAGCTGTTAAATGTCTAGCTGTCTCTCCATTTGGAAAGTGAGCACCTTGAAAGGTGAGTAAGTGCCATAACCAGGAAAAGCTTGCAGGATGAGCTGGGGTCTCAGGTGTATGTGTTTGAGAAAGAAGGAAGTTGAAACTACATACAAAGGGAAGAGGAAACTAACCCAAGTGTCCCAATTTCTACCCATAGGAGTTCTTCCATTTGTGTCAAGTACTGCTCCCTGGAAGGGTCCTTATAAAAAGTACTTTGGATGAAGAGTACAGATCCCAAGGTGCTTGGTGATACCACATAGGGTTCAAGCCTCCATCTGCACACCAGGGAGTTCACTTTAGGAGATAAAGCACTATGGCAAGAAAATATTCAGAGGAGGAGCAGTGTTTGAAGACAGGTAGACTGTGGCATCAAGGCATTGACCCTGAAGAAAGAGGAAGGTAGAAAAATGGGCTCTCAGCTCTCAGGGAAGGAACCTAGGCAGAGCCCAGGCAAACAGACTAAAGTTTGAGGTGCTATTCCAAGCCCAAATTGGAATAAAGATGCTATATGGGTAAACCAAGGCAGGAGCCCAGATGCATGTACAGGAGCACATTTCAGCAGAAAGAGAAATGCTTGGGAACTATATACCAATATCCATGGAGCATCCCTGGGCAACAGATGAATTCCAGTCCCCATCAGATGGTGGAGGTGAGGGTCCCAAATGAGTTCTTGTCCTCTTCAGATATAGCTCAGGAATTAGGAGTGAACCAGACTAGCATGGAAGGAGTGGAGAAAAAAAAATCAAAGTCAGATGGGCGATACCTAGGCCAGGGAGAAGAGTCCTTTCTCAGTTTTACACTGCCATACCCAGAAAATTGCCTGATGCATACTGAAGAGTCAAGAGAAATTCGTTGGAGTACAGTTTAAAAGAGAGAGAGGCTTCCAGATGCCTTTCCATCATTTTGGCAGGTAACTCCCTGCTTTCCTGGTCAGCCCTTGCTTACTGGAACCCCTTCATCCAGTGCCACAGAGAAAGTGCAATTTCCCTCCTGCACTGCTGCTCATTACCAAGAAAAATGACAGCTTGATGGTCTTCCAGCAAGAGAGAACAATCTATTTCATTTGGAAGTTTGGTAATTGATTAGGGCAATAGATTTTCTTCACGGCAGCCTCCCCGGGAGAGTCTGGTGAGGGCACAAGATTTACATACATCAGACTCATTCTGCCTGCAAAATCTGTCTTAGAGGATGAGATCACAAGGCCATTACTGGATTGGGGGGAGCTGGAAGGGTGGGAAGGCAGAGCGGAATTCCCAGACATCATTTCTCAACAACCAGTACCGTGGCTAGTTCAGAATGTTTTCAAGTACTTTCTGTCAGTAACTTGCAGGTAAATCCAAGGTTCTGTCTACTCAGGGTGTGATCAAGCAAGTGATTCTTTGGGAGTCTCTGTTGACCAAGCTTCTGAATAGATGGGCCCCAGAAACTTACTATTAGCCTATGTCGCCACCAACAATGGCTACCCTATTCTGTGGCTGCACCACAGCCTCAGTGAAGCAGTATCCTGAGAGTTCATATCATGGGGTTACCTTGAAGGTCATCAGGGCCAGCTTTTAGCAAACACTTGTTCTCTACTCAGACTTCTTCTGGAGCATATCTTCATCTTATATACCACCCTCTCCCCAGATTTTACTTCTAACTGTTTCTGTGTGCCTCTGGATCAAAATCTGCTGTACAAAATCTTTCAAACCTGTCATTTACCTTATGTGAGTATAAATCATGATGTTCCCTTTCTCAGAGAAACATTCATTTTAAGCCTTATCGCCCAATATGTGATAAAGAAATTTCCAGCATCGTTGTATTGATGAGAAGTTAGAGGGAATGTATACCAAGAACAAAGCATATTTTTTAATGCTACTTACATTGGAATGATACTACACACTCCATTGTGTAATGGCACTTCATTTCTTTGGCCACAACACCACCTTCTAAATTAGTTGAGGCCAATAGGACTGTAATCAGAAGTTGACTATGATACATAGAAGTTCGAATGTAGCCCCAAATGTAAAGGTTGAAGGGTAAGAGTGTTTAGATTTTATCCATATATATATAAAGAATTTGTGGATGAACTGTGCCTCTATTGCCTGGCTCCAGATGTCCCAGCATTCTCAATAAGAGTTAGGGCTGTGGTCCCACAAATAGTTGGGACACAAAGACATATCTCTGGGGTGACCTGAGGATATGAGATACTCTGTTTCATTCTTACTGTACCGACTCAGACCCATAGTGGAGGAAGTTTCTCTCTTGATCAGCCAAAAATGGACCCAGTTTCCACAGGGACCCCACAGACTAAGGAAACATCTCCACCTCCTTCTCCACCCAACACACAGAGTGCTCTGCCTGGAATAGTGAAAAATTCTGCCATTCATGTTAATTTTCAGGTAGAGATCCTACCCTTTCTAACTTACAGTTGCTAGTTTCATCTCTGGAACTAAAAAGTTGGTCCTAATCAAACTAATAGAATCAGCCAGCAGATGGAAAAAAACATTTTTTCCAAGGATGATATCATGGAAGTTGTATTAGGCCATTCTTACACTGCTATAAAGACATGGCTGAGACTGGGTAATTTATAAGGAAAAGAGGTTTAATCAGCTCATGGTTCTGCAGGCCGTACAGGCTTCTGCTTCTGGGGAGGCCTCAGGAAACTTACAATCATAGTGGAAAGTGAAGGAGAAGCAGGCACATCTTCACATGACTGACGGGAGAGAGATAGCATGCAAAGGGGAAGATGCTACACACTTTCAAACAACCAGATCTTGTGAAAACTCCACCATGAGACAACACTACAGGAAAGGTGCTAAACTATTAGAAACCACCCCCATGATCTAATCACCTCCCACAAGGCCCCAACTCCAACATTGGGAATTATAATTCAGTATGAGATTTGGGTGGGGACATAGAGCCAAACCATATCAGAGCTAGAAAATCACTTAAAACTGGCCTTGTAGATGAACTTGATGTATTAGAAAACTCTGTGGATCTATTAGAAAATGCTGTGGATGCCTACATTAGGTGAGCATCCTAACGTAGACCTGACCTATATTCCTTGGTAAGCATAGGGTAATATTAAGAGGCATACCTAGCAATCAGCAAACTTTGTTGAGCATCTATGATGTGCAAGCTTTCATGCTATGAAGGATACAAAGATGAGTAAAGCCCAACTTATACCCTCGAAACGTAGATGGGGAAACACCCATGTAGTAACTACCACAAACTCACTTTTGCTTATACTGCACTGGGTGGCTATTAATATATCCATTAATATCCATAGAAATGTTAATTGAAATATTAATAAATTGATTTATTTCTACCTATCATGGCTATATTCTTTCCCCTGTTCCACATTTTGTCAAATAGAAATGCAAGTACCAAGTTCAATGATTCTCTTGAAACATAATAAGAAAATAAGAACCCCATGAAGCATCCTGACAGCACTGACTTTTCCTGGAATAGGTGGAGGAGAACATGCTGACTGAGCAGACTTAGCATACCACTCACACACATGTTAAAGAGGCCTGCAGTATGTACCTGGCATGACAACAGTGTCTGACACTAAGTAGTTTGTGGATAAATATTTGTTCAAATGAATGATTAAAAATGGAAGACTTCAAGTGTTTGTAATACAACTATGAAATCTGGATATTATGGTTTTAAAGTAACTGCTTTGTCATATTGACTGTAGCCTCACTGAGCTAAAATGAATTTTAAGGAGCAATGATTATAGAGAGTGTAGACAGTGTCAATTTGGCATCAAAAACATGGGTTTTAAGCTTGATTAATACTAACTAGCTGGGTTGGCCTTGGGCAGGTCTTTTAATCTTTCTGAGCTTCCATTTTCTCATTAAGTAGACTGCGAAATGGAGCACAAAGGAATCAACAGAACCAGTGGGGGTTAAGTTCGGATTGGGGGCACCAGGAGACACAATGCTCTGAGAAAGAAGAGATCAGCACGTGGGCTGCTGTGAGCATAGAAAGCTTCACATGGGGATGAAACTTGAGCCTTGAAAGGTGAGCAGGATCTAGAAAAGAAGAGGAGGTCCCACTCTGCAGTCAGGAAGGGAAGAAAAAAAGCACGCATAGCCCAGCCAACACTCGGGCAACCTGTGCAACTCATCCCTGTGGATGTAGACACATTGGGCCCGGGAGAGCAGGCCTGGGCAAAGGAACGAATTGGTGCAATCATTGGGTTTGTACTTCAGAAAACCATGCATCACAAGAAACAGAACCAGAGAAAGAAGGATTCAGACAAGCTGTTCTTGTAAATGAAGCAGGGCCTGCTTTGCATGCCTGCATGCCCTCCTTGAAGTTATCCATGGAACATAGCTTCAAATACCCAAGCCATTGTGGTAACTATAGGAATTACTAACTGTAAGAACTCAAGTTGATAGTGTGAAGTTTTAGTATTAATAACTATTTGAGTTAATCATTAATATTTGTACCTAAATTTCTTTTCTGAAATTCTCCATACAAAACTTAATCTTTGAACTTTTAACTGGAGAGGAGCTCTGCTATACCAAGCATAAGGCTGTGTTGATGCTGAGGTCAGAAAGAAGAAAATATAAACTCTCCATGATGTATTGAATATATAGTTTTTCCTTTATTTCCTTTCTCTCCCCCCTCACTACTGTTTCCCTTCCTTCCTCCCTTCCATTCTTTCCTCCCTCCCTTCTTCCTTTCCTTCCTTTCTCTTTCTTTCAGCCAAAAGTTAATGTCATAGAATGGAAAGGTCACTTAGGTAACAGTTTGAAGACCTTGGTCCCCCTCCCAAATTTGCCGCTAAAATAAGTGTGTGAACCTGGCCAAGTCACTCTATTTCTCTGGCCTTCAGCTTTCTCATTTGTAAAAGGAAGGTCCTAGACAGATCTGTGATTTTTCAAGTGCTGCCCCAGGGACGAGAGTGGGAGAGAAAGATAAGAGATGGGCTTTCTGAATCTCTGTACACTCCTCAACCCAAAGAAGCAAACTTCTTACCTTTTATATGCAGGGGAGGAGATTCCATAATCATTCATTTGAAAAGAACACAGGGTTCTTTTTGCTGCTTAATAGGAAAAAAATTAGAAACCCACTGGCCTAGTTGATCTGGGCAGCACTTTCCCACTCCAGCATTGTAGGTTTCTCCTGTTCATTGATTTCTGCCACGTGAAAGACATTGTATCTGATGCTATAAGTAAAGATGGGAGAAGTACAAGCATTGGCTCCAAGGAGCTCACTCAGCTTCAAGATTAACCAGTGGGGGTTAAGTTAGTGTTGGGGGCACCAGGAGACACACTGCTCTGTGAAGAAATAGATCAGAATGGGCTGCTGTGAGCAGAGAAAGCTTCACATGGGAGTGGAACTTGAGCCTTGAAAGGTGAACAGTATCTGGAAGAGAAGAGAAAGCACTGTGCAGACAGAGAGAGCTATTTCTTCTCTCTCCAGGCTCTCACTGTGTGCTGTCTGTGAACTGGGCACAAGGACACAGAGGTGAATGAGACTGGCAGGGTCCCTGCTCTCCTGGAGCACAGTTCGGTGAGATGTGCACAACTCACCGAAGGACACAGAGGGCTCAGGGCCCACCTCCATCTTGTGGGCTTCATGATGAAGACAGAGCTTTTCCCACAGATTCATCTGCCTCTGGTTAGCTTAGGGAAGGCTGCCTGAGTCAGCAGCAGGGCAGACTAATAACCTCCCGAAGTAACTTCTCATGAGACGCGGCCCTGGCTGATTGAGTTTGGCAGGAATTCCGAGACATTCCAATATCTGCACAAAGGGCAGACCCTCGCCCCAGCCAGGCTGACCTCAGCCTCCCCCCTCCCAATAGATAATTACGCCTCTAGGTCTCCAAAGCAAGCCCTGTTGTGGGTAACCCTTGGAAGTGACATGCTGTTTTCTGATGGGAATTAAAAGGTCTAGAGTGGCCAAAAGGCTTCTCAGCAGGAGGGTTTGTTATTCTTTTAATTGTGGCATTAAACCTCAGGCTGGAATTGCATCAACATTCATGCTGCTATCCAGCTTGCCGAATTTGCTTCTTTTGACAGACTTTATCATGGCCAGGTCCAGTCTCACCCGGCGGTGAAGGCGGCCACCAATGCTTGGCTGGAAGTTGTAAATCTTGGAACTCGAGGAACTCCCTACCCTGACCCTCCCTCCAGGACTTTCTGTCCTTTTGGCTGATGCCTGGAATTCTACCTTTGGGACTTCAGGGCATTCCACTGAAAACTTTAATCTCTCTTTCCCTGGGAGAAAATATTAGCTTAAGTTCATAGGGGTACAAAAAATAGAAGTTCACTGGTTATAGAGAACAATTAGAAAACAAACAGCTTGCTCAAGGGGGCAAGGGATATAAGAATAAGGTGCTTATTGTAACTGCTGTAGAAGATTGTTGAACTGGAATTTACAAATCAATGCCATATCTTAACTTTGACATCTTAAATTAGATATCTTAACTCCATAATAATAATAATAACTAATAATTAACACAACATCTAGATTCAGTCTGTTTCCTACTTCATTTTATGGAATGGAATAGGATATATATTTCCCAATTGCAATCCTATTCTGTAAAAGAACTGTTACCTAACAAAGCCTACATCACACAGTTCCGGGTTGCTCCAAGGCCTCTGAAACATCTTTGAGATTGTCCATCTCATTTCACAGCTGATGCAAACAGAGTCCCTGTTCCCCAAGTGAGACACACTTCACCTTTCATACCATTAAATACTATGATTTTTGAATGAATAATGATCCTCTTTAAAAATTACACATCCATTGTTTACATGTACCCAGTGTCAAACTCCATCTAACTCCCCTATGATAGCATTTGTCTTCATTCATTCATTCATTCATTCAGCCTATTTACCAACTGTCAAGTACAGCATAGACACTGGTGGAAAGCAAAGGTCCCAAACCAAGTTCACAGTCCAGAGGTGAAATAGACATTAGTAAGTAAAACAGCCCTATAACTGTTGGAGCTGAGTCATGTCAGAGAGAACCCAGAGGAAGAGACTTGTTAACTTGCCTGGGGTCGCTGGAAAAGCTTTACAGAGGAGTGGCTCAAACTGCTGGTGTCTGGACTTGGCCACTGATAGGGATAAAGACCAGAGTTGGCCCTTCCTCTGTGTTTTCAGAAAAAGACGGATAATCTAGGTGACTAAAATTGAATTTTTTTTCTAATTCTTTTCTTAGAAAAAAAGAGCAGGAGGACCTCAGGTTTTCTGATACCTCTTCAACAGAGGGCCACCTTAGCTCCTTCTCCCTGGAGAGCAAAGGCCAGGGCAAGCAAGCTGTTTTGCACAGGTGTCAGGGAAAACGAGATGTGTCCACTGTGATTCTGGTTAAGCTGAGAGCCCCAGCTGGCAAGGGGCCAGCCTGGTGGCATGCAAGTAATATAATACACAATCTAAATGCAAGCATTTGTGGCCTGTTTGGGGAATCAATTAACAATAAGCATATACATCCATTTACAAAATAGCAGTGTGCTAGAGTATACCCACACTGTAATTGGAAACTAAAATAATACCAGGAGGAATAATCATTTTAAAAAATCCTCCAAAAAGCCAAGAGTAATACTAAGAAAATAAAATAAAAAATGTCGTCCATCTGCAGAGTTATATCCTTAGGGAAGCACTGCAGAGCGCACTAACAAGCAACTGAATCCATGTATAAATGAACAGAAACCCATGAAGGCAACAGAAGGCAAGGTGGGGTGTGGAAGGAAAAAAATATCCCTGGTAGATTAGCTACCCCTGAATCAAGCAGAGTTCCATTTGATTGCTTCTTGTAGGAGATGGAATGCTCCAAGGCCAGGCATGACCCTCAGGGGAAATTATTCTTTATCTGCCCATTCACAGAGTCTCCAGTGTTGGTTTTGAACTTGGATCCTCCTTTCCCACTTCAGCACCCCCATGCCCATGCGTGAGCATGAGCACACACACATACACCTCACTCACTCACCCCTGGGGGAATCCCAGACACATAATTTACTGTTAGCTGCTAGCTGAGGAAGATTCCCTGCCAGAGAACTAATTGGAAAAAGGGGGCAGAGTAAGCACGAAGAAGGAGGAGAGAGCTCATATAAACCCCAACTTGTGCACTTGGCAATCAAAAAGGGGCTAAGCCAAAGATCTCCTGTCTGATAATTTTAAGAAATTAAGCTAAAGGCTCAGAGAAATTCCACCCGTGCTGTTACTCCGGGATCTGCTCATCCCCTGGAGCCTGTGGTTTAGCAGCCCTTTGTGAGATCGCTCTGGGTTCTACACTAAGGGGAGGTCTCTGAAGGAAACCAGAATCAGATGGGACTCCTACACTAGGAATTAACAGGCTGGTGCCACCAACTACCTGGCAGTGGTATCAGGCTACTCTGGGTGTTAGCAGGCCCTTGCATACATGGATGGGAGCTAGCAGCTACTGCCACTTTCACACACCAGAAATCACAGCTGTGGTGTGCTTAGATCTCTTTGGGCCAATGGGCATGTCTTGTACGTACCATTTGGTTGAAGTACGTAGAGGGTGGAAACCATATTTGGTATGTCTTTAGAAAGTTAAAAAGATGCTTTAGCCATATTCTTGGAATGAGTCATTCAACCATGTTGGACTCAGTACCTAGCACTATTCCCTGCTTCAGTGCAGAGAATCAAGATGTGGTTTTTGCAGAAGCAGAGCCCATCATCAAATAGATATTGAGTCCCTACCAGGTATAAAGCCTCAACTAAAATCTCAAAAATTCCTTTCAGGAATATGAGTGTGCTACATGTGACTGTTGGCAGATCACCTGATGGAGACTTAGGATAATGGGTGGTGCAGGCTGCGAGTCCATGGGCATGCCTTAAACACACCCTTACCTTATGTCCCCCTGTCCCTGACCCAGTGCCCGCAACTGGGCTTTTACATGGTACTAAGCACTAAATAAATACCTTTTGAATGATGGACTAAATGCATTTAAAGTTGCATTTATTTCTGTTCTTTTTGATTAAAATGTATGGAATAAACTTTGCATGTCAAATGAGCTAGATCTTTATAGAGAAGTGTTTTTCTGGGAGTTTCCATCCTAAGGAGGTATGGCCCATGAGACAAGAAGCAACATGGTGTCCTGGAAAGAGCATGAAATTTCAGCATCAGAAAATGTGGGTTCTCACACATCTAGCTGTGTGACCTAGGGCAGTTACCTCAACCTCTGGGAACATCTATTTCTTCCTCTCTAGACCAGAGAGAACAATCTATCTAATTTGTGGGTTACCATGAGAAGATAAGGGAAAGGCTTACTAAGTGGCAAAGCCCAGGGCATATACAAGCTGTTAGGATCATGATTATTATTATGACCGAAAGTCTGCACAGGTGACAGGGCCTTGGTGATTGGGTGCTTCCCCAGCAGTGGGAATGGGTGGGCCTTCCTCCTCCCACCAGGTCCTCTGAGATACTCTAGAATCTTAACAGCTGGCCCAGGCAAGAGTAGTGTCTATGACCATCCAACAGGCCCACCTATGGCCTGGAAACATGACCTGCACCTCCCATCACCTCAGTTCTACATCAAGTGACCTGTCAACAGTCATATTTTTTAAGGGAATTTCTGAGAGCTTAGTTGAGGCTTTAACCTGATAGGGACTCAATGCCAGTTTGATGATGGGCTTTGCTTCTACATCATCTTGATTATCCTTACTGATGGAGAGTTGTGCTAGGCACTGAGTCCGACAGGGTTAAATGACTCATTCCAAGCTTACAGCCAAAGCATACTTGCAGTTTCTGGCATTGTGCTAAGGACTACTGGGAATGCAGAATACATAACTCAGAAAGAGTGCACAGGGTTAGGGATAGAGACTCACACAAGACAGACACTCAGTAACTGGATAGTACCATAAGCAGGATACAGCTCAGGGACCAGAGAGAGTAACACAAGAAAGGTACAAAAAAGACTTGGAAAATTGAGAGAAGCCAGAAAGAAGAGAGAGGACATTTAGATATGAGGTATAACTTTGGAAAAGACCTTCAGAAAGTAACCCTGTTTCCTTTTTCATTTTTTTTCTTTTTTAAATAAAATTACCTTTCGAGGAAACAGATTTACATATGAGATTATGTCTGGCTCAAGTGACCTTTAAAATCCATTGTATTCCATAAACCAGCAAGTCGCAAGATTTAATGTGCATCAGAATCACTTGGTGAGTGTGTCAAAAATGCAGGTTCCCACAGAATCAGAATCTCTGGAGCTGGCCCTCATAAATGCATTTGTTCTAAACAGCCAAGTGATTCTGGGACTCAAGCTGAGGGAGGCAGGAAGGGGTGTGGCTGATTGTGAGTGGGCATATTCATCCAGAAAGTAAGAGGTATTTTCCCAGAGGCCTATGGGGTAACTGGCCTTAGACATCGTTACTCTTTGAGCTATGTTTCATTTGAGGGCAGCTTGCCATGGAGGAAAGCGTGCTGAACTGGGAGTCAGCAGACTCATGTTCTAATCCTGCCTGGACTATTTGCCCCTTGGGCAATCTAAGGCAGTCTAAGGCAGTTATGTGCCTTTCTGACCTTCAGTTTGCACATCATATCAGTGGAGATCACCATCCTTCACGTGGGGTTACTGTGGATTTCAAATGGGAGCATGCATGTTAAAGCACCTTAAGAAATAGAAAGTGCTGTAGGAAAGTTGGCAGCGTCAAGTTCTGGGTATGATGTGTTGTGAAAAGGAGGCATTTTTTTATGTTTAGCCTTGCTATCCAAAACAGCTAAGCCCTAGAAGCATAAACACTATTAGCCCATGAGAAAATGTCCAGCTTGCAGTAATAAACTCGAGAAGGTAACCCCGGAAGGTGCACCCTTGACATTGCAGACCTGGGAGAGTTTGAGCCCTGCCATCCCCAGAGCGGCAGCTTCCCGGCACCATCCCTCAGTCCCTGCCTCTCATTCTGCTGGAGATGGCCCCGAGCTCAGGGCGGGAGCAATCCTACATAACTCACTACCCAGAATGGAAATGCCACATAGCACATTTAATTCTGCACTGACAGTTCTCGGGAAACAGGCCTAGTTCTCCATCGACCTCTAAAATAGATGATGGTTTTGGTAATAGCACTTTCTTCAGGAAATTCCATTCATGTTCATTCATTTATTTTAGACCACAAATATTCATGAATTTTGTACAGTGTGCTTGTTATTGTGGTTGTTGTTTGTTGCGTGAAGATTTCTGTTTGCTTGCTTGCTCACTTTACTCAGGCTCTCATTGGATTCCCCAATTCTTATTAACATGTGGATCATTAGAAAATCATATCACCAAACCAGCTATACCCTGTTGCCTTGGGCAATAGAAGTCAGAGGCCATTTTGCTGAGGACACCTGGTTTAAGCATCTGGGTTGCCAGGGGTTCCCATTTCTGCTAAGTTCCAACGCAGAGCATGCCATGGCTTGGCACGCATGCAACCAAAAAACTGATCTCTCCAAGTCATGGGTGAGAGGGCAGAGTGTCTTACCATGACCCCATAAGTGGTCTACGGCAAGCTGTAGTCTGCACTGGTCACTGGTGGGGTGTGGGGTGGGGGTTCTCCACTTTCTCAGCTGGTGAGAATTGTAGTTTACACTCAATTTGAGAAAAGGATTAAATAAACAAAGGAGGGAAATGCCAAGAAAGTTCCTCCAGCCCCAGCCCCTATGCTGAGTCTGGATAACCCAGCCAGACACCTTGAGATGTGGATAAGTATCACAAAGACAGGTCGCCCAGGGCAGGAGCAATCTATACTCCCATCACCAGGTTTTTTTTTTGTTTCTTTGTTTGTTTGTTTTGAGATGGAATCTCACTCTGTCACCCAGGCTGGAGTGCAGTGGCGCAGTCTCGGCTCACTGCAACCTCCGGCTCCCTAGCTCAAGCGATTGTCCTGCCTCAGCCTCCTGAGTAGCTGGGATTCCAGGCACATACAACCACACCCAGCTTTTTTTTTTTTTTTTTTTTTAAGTAAACACGGGGTTTACACCATGTTGGCCAAGATGGTCTTGATCTCCTGACCTCGTGATCAGCCTGCCTTGGCCTCCCAAGGTGCTGGGATTACAGGTGTGAGCCACCACACCCAGCCACTAGTTATCATTCTTTAACCCCACGAAATCTCCCCTGTCTTTGGAGACCCAGTGCAAATGATACATCCTGCCTGTAACCCTCCCCACCTGAGACCTGCCTTTGCTCTGACACAGCAACTGCCTGGATCTCCACTGAGGGCTTCCTTTAAGGGCACTATTTCACTTTTCCCAGGTCGTCCAGATCTCTGGCCACATTTGTTGAGAACTTACCCTACACTAGGCTGTTTGTGTGCCTTTTACTGTTTAACCCTCACATCTGTCCTTTGAAGAAGATTTTGTCATCATTTTCAGATAAGAGAATGAGAGATGCAGAAAAATTAAGAAAGTTGCCCCAAAGACACATAATTTGTAAAGTACGGAGTTGAATTGAACCTCAGGACTGGACACAAAACTGGAGCTCACCTGAATACTCTGGGCTGCCTCTAATACCTGTCTTTCCTGGCTATTGTAAGGATTGGCAGTAACAAGTATAAAGCACCTGGATGGAGCCTGGTCCTTAGTGGGTGCTCAATAAGTGATCCTTATTACTACTATTACTTATTCTTTACTATTCTCAGCCTTAGACTGTGAGACTTGACTGTTTACAGACCTGTTTTCCTCTTGAACCTTGCATGGAGAGTGTATTTTATTCACTTAGTGCCCTCAACACCTCAACAAGTGTCTGGCTACCCAATGTTTTGTACTGATGAGGTCCTCAATAAATGCTTGTTCAATCCCATTGCACTGCATTCAACTCAGCTGGGACTTGAAGACCCAGTAGGGTGTGAATAGAATGCAAGAAAGAAAAGACAAAGGCAGTGAGAGGGATGTGCCCTTAATGGGGTGTGGGACCAGCCCAGCTGGACCTGAGGTGAGAGGAAGGGTTGGACACTGGCCTCAAGGAAGCCCAGAGCAGCCTGATCACCTATGGTAGGCAAGGTACCCTGAACATAGTTCCCTATCCAGCCCTATATATCCACATCAGAAGGCCAACAGATGACACATACACATGAAACTTTGGCATTTCATTCTTCTTAGTTCAGGGCTCATTTAGAGAAATGGGTAAGTGACAATCTTCATGGAAAGAACACAGGACCGTATACGAAAACACACAGGTGTAGACCTAACTGCTAAGCCCTTAAATGCCTCACCTGCCTTATCTGGCCTCAGCTGCTCCATATGAAAAATGAGATAGAGGCACCATGGCCCCACCAGCCCCTGCCCTTTTTCCTGCCCCATTTTCTCCTCACCCTAGCATTTGGAGTTGAAGGAAAGTTTTCTCCCAACTTTGGTGAGATTTCTGGTAGGACTAATTCAGGAGACTTAAAGCATCTCCTTATTATCAAGATGAAATGTTGAAGTCAAATTTGAAACTACAGGGATAATATAGAAAGCTTATGGGCAGCTTTTAATATCCACCTCCCTATTTAAATCTAGAACAATCTTATGCCTTCCAGATAAAAAGGATACCTCTTGGGGGTAATTCCCAAGATGTTTTTGAAATCTTTGCATATAGACACACACACACACACACACACAAAACTCTCCTCCCTTCAGCTCCTTGTCCATCCTATAAAAATTTTCTCTCTGACCTACCTGGGGTATTTTCTTTAATGTGGCTGCTATTGGTAATGAATCAAATGCAGTATCTTGCAGTTAATCATAAAACTAAGCAAATGAAACAAGACTTCATGGGCCCATCCTTGGACTTCTGTCTCCCTGACTCCTCTTTTGGGAAAGGTTGAGTGGATTAGGCTTGAAGTGAATGACTGTAGTGCTGCTGGTGCATCCACCATGCATGTCTTGAAGAATGTCTCCTACCACTTCCAAGATCCCTAGAGATATGCAGCTTAGATATGCCTTGGCTCCATTTCCCTTTATTACTGGTTATTAACTCCTTTGACTTGTTCTGAACATGTGCCAAAGCCCTTGGCCCAGACACAGAAATGGCTTTTATTAAACACTAGTGATAAAAATATGCTTATATCACCCATGATGATTTCAAAATGCTCACAAACTTAACTATTTTCAATGCATTCCAATTAGCATTTGGTAGATCTGCCCAGGAGTTATCATCATCACATTTTAGATGATGCTTCCTAAGAGCAGGAGTGTATTTTCTGTTTGTGTCCATATGAACTGGGACCCAAGAACATACAATGGGTCACAATGCAATAGCAACTCCCCATTTACAGTTGTACAAATTCAAATTTGCAGGAGATGTGCTGTTTTTAAAGTAGTTGGTGGTGGCCATTTTGTTTCTAGGTGTTTGCTGAGACATGATGGAATTCCAGGTGCATCTTCAGACTCTTTCATAGTGTAACAAATCTCAGCAAAATCAATTCAGTAGCTCAAAGGGTATTTGTAAGCAAAAAGGCAAGAAAATTTAAAAGTGCTAAATGGTAAATAAAAGCATCATTTTACTTGGTTAAATAAAGAAAGAAGGCAGTAAGGTATTGGAACGTTCCCCACATAAGGGATAGCTTCAGAGAAAATGAATTTACATTGTGGCTATAAGTATCTGGGTTATGCAGGGAAAGTCTTTAGTGCAGCGTATCTTAGCTTGCACAACCATTCTCTTCCCAACAGTGACCCCTCATGGTTTTTAGTCACTGGAATTCCCTGTCCAGCTGAAGGTAATAAAAAATCCTCTTAGCTGCTATGATCTGAGAGAACCTTGTGTGATACGGCCAGAAGTCACTGTCAGGATGCCTTGAGGCTGCAGCAAAATGTTCATTCCTAATTCTGGTGCCTGAGAGGCAGGCTTTTCTGAAGGCATTAACCAATAGGTTGGTGCTTTCAGACATCCTACCAATCAAAAACACCAGACTAAGTCTGCTTGGCACTATGGATATGGAAGAAAGAATCACAGGATATCTGAGTCAAGTAGCTTGTAATTTACTTGGAAAGATAAAGAAACTAACCAGAAAATCCAGTAAATGGAAAACAGTAGGGCCAAGCTATTGCTTCTGATAAGAAGTGATTTTGGAGTGAACTTGAGAGGTCAGTGAGGGATCATAGGGTGTATAATATTAGAGAACTGAGTCATATAGAGGGGGAAGATGGGTAGAATTCTGACTTAGCTGGAACAGAAAGTTCGTGGGGAAGAGGAAGGGGAAATACATTGTGGACAAGCAGAATGGAACAAGATTGTAAGGCCTGAGCCAGGCAAAGTAGGGTGGGTTCTTTTCTAATAGTCTGGATCAGGAAATTTATGGACAAGGAGGGAGTTGCTAAGAAATTCACCATGACCCCACAAAGAGCATGAATAGAGAAAACTTAATCATGGAAGGAGGAATCAGACAGGAAGAAGATTCTTGAAAATCAGAATAAGGGACATTGGATGGATAATAATGGAAGGCTATAAACAAAAAATGTCAGACCTACAAGGATCTTAGATGTAATCTACCAAAACCTTCATTTTTTAGACCAGAAAAGTAAGGCCCAGAGAGGGGCATGACTTGCCCAAAAGTCACATAGCTGGTCAATGACAGAGCTAAGATCTTCCAGTATCTGTTCCCAAGAATCTTCCAAGAAAAGGAAGTTTGGCTGTCTGTCCTGGAGAATTTAGGTGCTCCCTGTTCTGATGAGAAGCGTTGGGATGGCAGATTTATCAAGGTTCTGTTGAGCAATAGAATCCTGAGCCCTTAGGTGGCACCTCTCAGCTCCCGAGATGACGCTAACAAATCCAAGACTTGAGATGATTAGGAGTAAAGTTGCCTTTATGATCCCATTTTTTATCTCAAAAATCTTAACTCACACCCCTTTAGATGTCTCATTTATTATAGATGATGTTGATGGTGTTAGAGAAAACAGCTTAAGATAAAAGCAAGAAGACAGGCTTCCCTTAAAGTTAGCAATAGCAATAGAATTACATAAATTACTCAACTTATGCCTTAACCTATTCAACTTTTTGCAAAAAGAAAGACAACATTTAGAGAAAATAAATACATTCAAGTCTTTTCTACAGACTCATGATATGGGAAGGATGTGGCATTTGGAGTCCAAAGTCTCAGGTTAAGTTCTAGCCTGGATACTTATAGCAGCCATGTCCATTAGGCAAATCGTTTGTTCTAAGTCTATTTTTCTCAACTGTAAAGTTCAGTATCTAAGTCATAGAATTGTGAGGATTAAATGCAATGATATATTTTTAAGTGCTTTACAAATCTATAAATGGACATACAAATGTGAATGATTACAGTTCATAACTCTTGTCTACTATGCACAATTTCTCTCCTAGAAAGCTATTCTTGTGACCAAATCAACAGCTCTTTCCAAGAAAAAAAGACCTTATTGATGTGAAGTCTTGACACTGCCTCCTGGGAGCATCGTCCTGTAATCAAGGGCAGAAAACTCTGTGTGTGTACATGTGTGTAAATGCATGTGTGTGCCCATAGGGCCACCATTAGGCTAAAAGGCCCTTATGACATCCATGTGGGAATTATTTCCTCCTCCCTCCAGGCAGATGCAGCCCCATGCTAACTTGTGGAACAGGTTTGGTTTCAGGCCGCACTTACTCTTTTGACCAAAGTTACAACTGTTCACAACACCTGTGTGTGTGTGTGCGGGGGGGGGGGGGGGTGTCTATATGCGAAGATTTCAAAAACATATCAGAAATTACTCCCAAGAGGTATCCCTTTTTATCTGGAGGGCATAACATCGTTCTAGATTTATACAGGGAGGTGGATATTTAAAGCTGCCATTAATCTTTCAATATCATTCCTGTAGTTTCAAATCTGACTTCAAAATTGATGTAGAAAAAGACTCACTGACATCCTGACATCTCAGGATCCTACCTGTCACTTTACCTGGACTAAAGACCTTCGAACATCCATGCTGTCCAGGGGCACTCACCCCACAGGGTCATAAATCACAAATAGTTGTTCTTTATTTCAGTTTACTTCATGAATTAATTATGCAGCCAATAGGAACCCCATTTTTCCACCTCCCCCCGAATTAAAACACACACACACACACACACACACACACACTCGGCTCAGTCAAACCCTGATAGGTTCCATCTGAACCAGAACTATGGAAGATGGTGGAGATACACAGATGAACAAGCCCTGATCCTGGCACTCAAGTTACTTAGAGTCTCAAAATCTATTCAGTTAATTGAAAAAAAGTTAAATCTGTGCTAGATAGCACCCAAGGATGGCTGCTATCAATTCTTCCTTTCCCTATGTGCTCCTATCATCAAGAAGCAGAGGCTAGTTCACCCACTCTGGGGCTGGCCTCATGACTTTGTTTGACCAATAAACTATGTATGGTAAACATGGCACTGTGCCAATTTCAAGTTTAGACTAGAAGCTTCCACTTTTCTGCTTTCTGGGGAAGCCAGCGGCTATAAAGAAGCATAGGCTAGACTTCTGAGGGGTCAGATGCCACATGGAGAAAGAGAGGCCACATGGAGTAAAATCAAGACACCTTCCAGCCCTACCATCAGCTGAATGCAGCTAAGTGACCTGAGGGAACAAAAGAGCCTCCCAGCCAAGAGCCCTGCTCAAATTGCTGACTTGCAGAATCATGAGAAAAACGTAGTTTGGGGCTGTTGGTTAGGCAGCAATAACAAATTATTGGTGAGAAAACAAAATTATTGGTGAGAAAATTAACACAGTCAAAACAGCTATTTAACCTTGTGCAGAAAAAATACTGTTTTAAAAAGCAGACATCTCACTGTGGTCTACTTTCCAATTGGTTGTCTGGCCATATACTGACTGAGGTACTGCATATGAAACCCTATATGAAAAATCATGTGGACTGGAGGGAATCCAAGAGACAGAAGTTGTGGTTCCTACAACCTGGTACTTCCTCCTCACCTAGATGGTTTTCCATAAGAAAAAAAAATTATGTCTTCCATTTCTTTGGCACTGTCCTATTAAAGATCTCTGCATATTATGCCGAGCGCATATGGGCCATCAATGAATATAAATGGATTGAGTTTGTAAAGTTTAACTCAAATTTCAATCCCCAGTTTTTTCCACCCTCTGCCTTTCGATCTTTAGTCCTGTTACATTGAGGCCCAAGACTTAGGGTTGAATTGAAGTATCTCGGTCAGCAAGAGAAAAGGAGTTTTGACTTAAGAACTCAAGGCCTAGGAGAATGGGGTCACATGGTCACTTCACATGTTCTCTTTAGCACACCATTCCTGCATGGAATTCCATCTCTGAAGCCCTTTGGTGGGGGGCTATCTTGTATGTGACAGTTTAAAGTAAAAGTGTCTGGAATGGAGTTTCCTACAGCCTTCAATTCCTCAAAATAGGCATAAAAGAGTGCCAGACTCCTAACGTATTCTCAGGCTTCCAAGCCAGGCACCAAGATGGTTCACATCTACTCCTACAAGAAGCTCTCATTGAACCAGCATCATTCTCTGAGAAAGAGGACCTTGCCTGCTTAGTTGGTAGGTGTCCCATACAAATTTTTGTTCAAGGACTCGTTAGGAAACATGATATGGTATACAAGTGAATTTCCTAGAAATTAAAAAACACAGCCATTCAAACAACCCTTCTTTTCTTTCATTCATGAAGTGTTTATTGAGTATTCACTGTGTGCTAAGCATTGTGCTAGGTACTTGGGACGTTGAATACAAATCAAGGTTCCTGTGCTCAAGCGAATCTCATTAACAATAACCTTTTTAAAAAATTTGGCTGATGTTTGTTGTCAATTCTCCTGACAGAGATTATTTCCTCCTTACTTTCCTATAAAGCAAATGCTAAAATGAAATGAAGGCTCTTCTCCATAACTCATTATTAAATAAGACAAAAATATCATAGACTACTAAATCTACAAAAACATAGAAATATCCTTGTATTTCTGTGTTTTTGTGTTGAATCTAGACAGGTTTTCTTTTATATCTCATACTATCAGCTTCATTTCTTCCTAATGCCAGCACCTCTCATAACCCACTTGCTATTCAGGTTCTCCATATCTAGTCTTCTGTAAGTCTTGGGAACCATCTATGTCTAAATATGTTAGAAATGTGTGTCAAACAATGGCCAATAAAGTGCTGCTTGAGAGCCTAAGAAGAGAAGGTACATGAGCTTTAGTTATTGAAAAAATTCTGTCTGCCACCTTTTCTATTTTTTTATTATTATTATACTTTAAGTTTTAGGGTACATGTGCACAACATGCAGGTTTGTTACATATGTATACATGTGCCATGTTGGTGTGCTGAACCCATTAACTCGTCATTTAGCATTAGGTATATCTCCTAATGCTATCCCTCCCCACTCCCCCCACCCCACAACAGTCCCTGGTGTGTGATGTTCCCCTTCCTATGTCCATGTGTTCTCATTGTTCAGTTCCCACCTATGAGTGAGAACATGCGGTGTTTGGTTTTTTGTCCTTGCGATAGTTTGCTGAGAATGATGGTTTCTAGCTTCATCCATGTCCCTACAAAGGACATGAACTCATCATTTTTTATGGCTGCATAGTATTCCATGGTGTATATGTGCCACATTTTCTTAATCCAGTCTATCATTGTTGGACATTTGGGTTGGTTCCAAGTCTTTGCTATTGTGAATAGTGTCACAATAAACATACGTGTGCATGTGTCTTTATAGCAGTGTGATTTATAATCCTTTGGGTATATACCCAGTAATGGGATGGCTGGGTCAAATGGCATTTCTAGTTCTAGATCCCTGAGGAATCGCCACACTGACTTCCACAATGGTTGAACTAGTTTACAGTCCCACCAACAGTGTAAAAGTGTTCCTATTTCTCCACATCCTCTCCAGCACCTGTTGTTTCCTGACTTTTTAATGATCGCCATTCTAACTGGTGTGAGATGGTGTCTCATTGTGGTTTTGATTTGCATTTCTCTGATGGCCAGTGATGATGAACATTTTTTCATGTGTTTTTTGGCTGCATAAATGTCTTCTTTTGAGAAGGGTCTGTTCATATCCTTCACCCACTTTTTGATGGGATTGTTTGTTTTTTTCTTGTAAATCTGTTTGAGTTCATTGTAGATTCTGGATATTAGTCCTTTGTCAGATGAGTAGGTTGCAAACATTTTCTCCCATTCTGTAGGTTGCCTGTTCACTCTGATGGTGGTTTCTTTTGCTGTACAGAAGCTCTTTAGTTTAATGAGATCCCATTTGTCAATTTTGGCTTTTGTTGCCATTGCTTTTGGTGTTTTAGACATGAAGTCCTTGCCCATGCCTATGTCCTGAATGGTAATGCCTAGGTTTTCTTCTAGGGTTTTTATGGTTTTAGGTCTAACATGTAAGTCTTTAATCCATCTTGAATTACTTTTTGTATAAGGTGTAAGGAAGGGATCCAGTTTCAGCTTTCTACATATGGCTAGCCAGTTTTCCCAGCACCATTTATTAAATAGGGAATCCTTTCCCCATTTCTTCTTTTTGTCAGGTTTGTCAAAGATCAGATAGTTGTAGATATGCGGCATTATTTCTGAGGTCTCTGTTCTGTTCCATTGGTCTATATCTCTGTTTTGGTAGGAGTACCATGCTGTTTTTGTTACTGTAGCTTTGTAGTATAGTTTGAAGTCAGGTAGCATGATGCCTCCAGCTTTGTTCTTTTTTCTTAGGATTGACTTGGCAGTGCGGGCTCTTTTTTGGTTCCATACGAACTTTAAAGTAGTTTTTTCCAATTCTGTGAAGAAAGTCATTGGTAGCTTGATGGGGATGGCATTGAATCTATAAATTACCTTGGGCAGTATGGCCATTTTCACAATATTGACTCTTCCTACCAATGAGCATGGAATGTTCTTCCATTTGTTTGTATCCTCTTTGATTTCATTGAGCACTGGTTTGTAGTTCTCCTTGAAGAGGTCCTTCACATCCCTTGTAAGTTGGATTCCTAGGTATTTTATTCTCTTTGAAGCAATTGTGAATGGGAGTTCACTCATGATTTGGCTGTTTGTCTGTTATTGGTGTATAAGAATGCTTGTGATTTTTGCACATTGATTTTGTATCCTGAGACTTTGCTGAAGTTGCTTATCAGCTTAAGGAGATTTTGGGCTGAGACAGTGGGGTTTTCTAGATATACAATCATGTCATCTGCAAACAGGGACAATTTGACTTCCTCTTTTCCTAATTGAATACCCTTTATTTCCTTCTCCTGCCTGATTGCCCTGGCCAGAACTTCCAACACTATGTTGAATAGGAGTGGTGAGAGAGAGCATCCCTGTCTTCTGCTAGTTTTCAAAGGGAATGCTTCCAGTTTTTGTCCATTCAGTATGATATTGGCTGTGGGTTTGTCATAGATAGCTCATATTATTTTGAGATACGTACCATCAATACCTAATTTATTGAGAGTTTTTAGCATGAAGGGTTGTTGAATTTTGTCAAAGGCCTTTTCTGCATCTATTGAGATAATCATGTGGTTTTTGTCTTTGGTTCTGTTTATATGCTGGATTACGTTTATTGATTTGCGTATGTTGAACCAGCCTTGCATCCCAGGGATGAAGCCCACTTGATCATGGTGGATAAGCTTTTTGATGTGCTGCTGGATTCGGTTTGCCAGTATTTTATTGAGGATTTTTGCATCAATGTTTATCAAGGATATTGGTCTAAAATTCTCTTTTTTGGTTGTGTCTCTGCCAAGCTTTGGTATCAGGATGAAGCTGGCCTCATAAAATGAGTTAGGGAGGATTCCCTCTTTTTCTATTGATTGGAGTAGTTTCAGAAGGAATGGTACCAGCTCCTCCTTGTACCTCTGGTAGAATTCGGCTGTGAATCCATCTGGTCCTGGACTTTTTTTGGTTGGTAAGCTATTAATTATTGCCTCAATTTCAGAGCCTGTTATTGGCCTATTCAGAGATTCAACTTCTTCCTGGTTTAGTCTTGGGAGAGTGTGTGTGTCGAGGAATTTATCCATTTCTTCTAGATTTTCAAGTTGATTTGCATAGAGGTGTTTATAGTATTCTCTGATGGTAGTTTGTATTTCTGTGGGATCGGTGGTGATATCCCCTTTGTCATTTTTTATTGCGTCTATTTGATTCTTCTCTCTTTTCTTCTTTATTAGTCTTGCTAGTGGTCTATCAATTTTGCTGATCTTTTCACAAAACCAGCTCCTGGATTAATTGATTTTTTGAAGGGTTTTTTGTGTCTCTATTTCCTTCAGTTCTGCTCTGATCTTAGTTATTTCTTGCCTTCTGCTAGCTTTTGAATGTGTTTGCTCTTGCTTCTCTAGTTCTTTTAATTGTGATGTTAGGGTGTTAGTTTTAGATCTTTCCTGCTTTCTCTTGTGGGCATTTAGTGCTATAAATGTCCCTCTACACACTGCTTTGAATGTGTCCCAGAGATTCTGGTATCACCTTTTCTAATGACTAAATCTGGCTCAGTAGTTTTAATAAAGCCAAACATTCCAGGCCCAAGAACCCAAATCACGAAGAATGTAGAAAGAAGAAAAACAAACAAACAAACAAACAAAAAACCTTGTTTAGGGTTTAGGTTTTTGAGCTGTCCCAGTTCTTAAGCTTTTGTGCTTCCCATCTAGGGAACAGAGAGGTATGGTAAAATCGTGATTTTGCTTGGGAAGGTGCTTTGAGTGTGAGGAAGCAAAGCTGCAATTTTGGACGTGGGAGAGACCTAAAGGGTTCATTTCACATGCATTCCCTCCACGAATTTCACTTTCCCCTCCTCATCACTGCAGAGCATTTCCTTACAAGCCTTCACTGAGGTTGGAGGGATGATTCTACAGTGGAGTGGCAAGTCTTAGAAACAGGGAGCTAGAAACACACAAAGACTAACTCTCAAGCACCTAAATTTATAGTCAAAAGGAAAAAAACCCCAGAGAGGTACAGACGCGACATGCCTGGGACAGCAAAGCTGGTTAGCAGCTGAAAAAGAGCTAAAACCAGCTCAGTGGTTTTTCTACTATACTGTGTAAGCAGGCCTCTGAGCTTCTTCATTTTATTTCACCAGAAACACTTGAGATCAAGGCCTCGTAAATTTAATCCTCTAATGAATAATAATAATAATAACAATGTAGACCCTTGAAACAATAGCATGTCGGAAACTTTAGAGTTCATCTGGTCCAAATCTCACATTTTACAGATGCTCACTCAAGGTCAAGCAAGGGACAAGTTGAGCCTTCGTGGAGGATATGGGACATAGGCAAAGGGTTGAAAATAGAGCAAGAGTATATAAAATTATAAACCGAGGAACCTCAGAGATCATTATTCCAACCATGCATTAGATGAAAGGTGACCCTGAGATCACAGAGGAGAACTAACTAGTTCATGGATCAGTTAATGGTAGATTATTTTCAGCCCTATGTGCCATTGACTGCACCACAGGGCATCTTTGTAGTCACTGATGGGAAGAAAAATACAACCTGCAAACATTAACATACTGTAAAATCTCAATTTACTGGAATTCTCAGGAAATGAGGCATTCTGGTTAAATGAATTAGCTGGTTAATGAGACCTAAGGTCTGGTGGATGTCTGTAATTCTTGCCCACTTTCCCATCTGCTGTGATACCTGATCCTTTGTGAAGAGGCAACCAAAAAGCTCTTTCTGTTTGTGCTCTGATGTTTGGAGATCTTTCCAAAACGTCAGATTCCCATTGTCTTTTTCTAGTCAGTCGCGTCTGGTGAGTATCACTGCCCTTCATTTGCCGGGGAAGGAGCTTGTTAGCACTACATAACACTTGCTATTAATGACAAAGCTGGAGGAGATTATTTTACGTACCTCCATCATTTCTGACAACTTTTCCAACTTGAGCTGAATGTGACAAATAGAAAGAGTTTGTTGGAAGCGTAATTGGTTTCTACCTTTTTCTGTCTGGAGTTTATGTGATCAGAATAAAAGTTAAGGAATGAAGGTTCACTGAGCTTCTGCAGTACACAGTCTCCGTTACTCCGTAGCGTTCTTATTGAATTGTTCCGACCATCCCGTGAGATATATATTTCCATCCTCATCTTACAGATGAGGAAGCTGAGGCTCAGGGAGGTTGAATAACTTGTCTAAGATTGTGCAAAGAAGGAATAATGGGGCTGGGATTGAACCTAGCTCTGAGTCCAGAGTTAGCAGAGACTGTGCAAGTGACTAGGAGTATGTTTCCAACTGTTTGAGTGAGCAAAAGGCCTGATGTTCGCACTCTTGCATGGACACAAAATGAAAAAGCTTCATGGTTCTTAATCTTTCGGGGTCACTTTTTCTGCCTGAGCCTCAGTTTCCTCATTTGTAAAATAGGAAAAGGAAAGAAGTGAACCAGATCCCTACTTACTAAACAGTCTTTATCCCCTAGCCCTAGTGCCTCTCCTCTGCCATAGTTGGACTTGGAACTATAGGCAATGAAGAAGACAGATCTGTTTCTTGCCCTAAGGACATTTAATCAAAGGAACAACATGGCAATGAATGAGCAAGTAAAGATAAATAGATGAGATGGACTGTCAACATCTTAAGCCAATAGGATGCACATCAACTGTGAATAAAAAAGCCAGATGTTCTAGAGTTTTAACCTAAAAATACAGGGATATGAAGAACATTGACTTCCTTTTTCCTTCTTATTGTCCAGGAGGGCTTCTTGGAGGAGGTATTGTATTGCCTATGTGAGAGAAAACAGTCTGGAGAGCATGGTGGTTGTGCCCTGAGGTGGTGTCCAGCAATCTGTTAATGCTGAGAGATGGCTCTGAGACAAGAGTGGGGTGGGCTTGAACAAGAAAGCATAAAATGTGTATTAATTTCCCAGTACCTGGGTACTCTGACATTAACAAAGTTCCACAAACTAGGTGGCTTAAAACAACAGAAATTTATCCTTTCACAGTTTGGGAAGCTAGAAGTCTGAAATCAAGGTGTTGGCAAAGTTGGCTCCTTCTGAGGACTGTGCGGGAGAACCCATTCCATGCCTCTGTCTGGCTTCTGCTGATGGCCGGCAGTCCTTGGTGTCTGTTGGCTTGTGGATGCATCACTCTAACCTCTGCCTCTGTCTTCACATGGCCTTCTCTGTGTGTGTCTCTTCTTCTCCAGAGGACACCATTCATGTCAGATTAAGAGCCGCTCTTCTCCAGTATGATCTCATCTTAATTTAGATAATGACGTCCACAACAATCCATTGCCAAGTAAAGTCACATTCTCAGGTATTGGGGGTTGGGACTTAAACATATCTTTTGGGGGGCACAATTCAACCCATGACAAAGCAAAAAAAGCTGCATATGAATGGCAGCAAAGACCCAAGGAGGTAAAAATATCCAGATTTGTCACATTGTAAGGGCAATGAAACTGGGAGCCTCCTGGGCTGCCAAAAGCAAATCAATCAAAGACATTCCCTGAAGCTGGTCTCAGCAGGGCCTGTCCTGAATGCTGGGTGTCCTGGGTGGGCATCCTTGCAGGCCTTCAAGGACCTTGTGGTCTAGCCAGGAGAACTGCATTTGCTAAACAATCATTCAGACCACAGTGCAAGAGCTCTCATCGGGTGGTTCGTCCCCCTCTCTCCCCTCCCTCCCTCCCTCCCTCCCTCCCTCCCTCCCTCCCTCCCTCCCTTCCTTCCTTCCTTCCTTCAACAAATATTTATAGACCACCATTATTTGCCAGGCACATTGTCCTAGGTATTCTCTTCTAGGTGCTGAAGATATACCAATGAATAAAATAGACACAAAAGCAACAACAACAAAATACCTGCTCTCAGGAGCTGCTTACATACCAGCAGAGATGGGCAAATAAGTAAGAAACATAATAAATAAATCATAGAATAATTTTGAAGATTTTAGTGCTATGTAAAAGGAGACAAAAAAGAAAGCAGAGTAATGAAGTCTGGGAGTTCTGGGGGTTGAGCTATCAAGATAGACTTCAGGTTGACTTTTGACAAAGACGTGAAGAAGGCGAGGGAGTGAGCCATGCAGGTAACTGGGGAGGAGAGTCCTGGACAGGGAACAGAGCCAGCACAAAGCCCTAAAGTGGCAGTGTGCTGGCAGCAAAATGGCCAGTGTGTTCCCTGGGAAGTGAGCAAGTGGGGAGAGAGGTAGGAGGTGAGGTCAGAGAGGAACAGAAGACAGCTTTGTAGGATATTTAAGGACCGTAGCCTTTTTTCTGTGAAATGAGGAAGCCATTGGTGAATTTTGTTCAGAGGAGTGTCATGATTTGACCTACATTTGGTTGGGATCATTGGCTGCTGGGTATAGAATAGACCGCATTGGCCACTGAAGGAAGCAAGAAGCAGATGGAAGCTGGTAGCAAGCATCCAGATAAGAGTTGCCCCTAACTGCAATGGGGAAATCTATGGAGCAGCAGGTTGGGAGATTGACCAGGAGTTGAGTTTTGGAGTAAAGGAAGGAGATGTAAAGGAGACAGTGGGATATACAGTTCTGGAGTTCAGCAGAGAGGTCTGGGTTGGAAATAAAAATGTGGTGCCATCAACAAATAGATGGTGTTTGTAGGAGTCATTTATCACTGCATAATACATTACTCCCAGACTTAGAAACCTAAAGTAACACTCATTTGCTCACACAGTTTCTGAGGTCAGGAATGAGGGAGAAGCCTAGCTGGGTTTGCCAATGGAGTTTGTGAGTTCAAAAGCTCAGTGCCCTTCCATGCAGGTGGGACTTGCAAGGGCCTCATCTCAGAGCTGAGAATCAGATCAAATCCAGACCCTGCCTCTATCTCCATGTCAGCCAACCCTGCTGGAACCCAGCCAGGCAGCCTCATTGATCCCAGAAGATGCAGGAGAGCCTTTGAAATATGGTTGCCTCTTCCTGGGCCTGTTCCCCTTGCCCCCATGGTGTCATTTCCAAACCCACTACATTCCAATGGCTTTGGGATCTTTTAATTACATGGGACAAAACCTTGCTTTTGCTGGCTCTGGCTTAGAGTCTTTCGTGAGGTTTCAGTTAAGCTATTATCCAAGGCCACGGTCATTTCAAGGCTCGACTGGGACTGGAGAATCCACTCCTAATCTCATCACCTGGTTGTTGGCAGGCCTCAGTTCCTGACTGGCTGCTGGCCCCAGGCTTCAGTTCCCCTGTGGGCTTCCCCGTAGGACTGCTGACACAACATAACAGCTTGCTTCCTCCAGAGTGAGTGACTCAACAAAGAAAGAGGGAAGAAGACAGAAGCCACAGTCTTTTTTATAACCTAATCTCAGAATTGACATACCATCACTCTGCCATATGCTATTAGTCACACACATCAACCCTGCTACAATATGGGAAGGGCAGGAAACTGAATACCAGCAGGGACCACTGAGGGCAATCTTGAAGTCTGATTCTGGTCATCATATTATTGCCATGAGATGAGAAGAAATGACCAAAGGTCCTTCTCCCCCTTCCCTTTTTTTTTTTTTTTTTTTTTGCTTGCTTTCTTTCCTTCCTTCCTTCCTTTTGTCCTTTTTTGCTTTCTTTCCTTTCCCCTATTTATCTTGCATCCCTTCCTTCCTGCCACAGCTTTGCTGATCACATACTATATGGCAGGCCTGTGTAAAGCCTATAAAGGTCAGAGAAGACTTAAACACATTCCTTGCTCATGAGAAGCCCATGGGGATAGAGAAGCAGTCAAGTAAAAAAATAACCACACCCAGCACTATAATGTTCCAAAAACTGGAGAGTCGAGGTCCTCTGGGAGCCCAGAGGAAAGAGCAATGGACTCTAGGTGGATGCAGGGATTCAGGTGGGAATCTTCAGACAGAGCATGAGGTTGCTAAAGTGATGGCTTCTGGAAGAAAGTTGGGCAAGAATAAAAGGATTATTGTACTTGTGAGGAAGATGAACACCAAGATCTTCTCCCCTACCCTGGGCTTAGGTTATGTCTATCTGTAAGACTATGTTACTTCCATGCTTCTAGAAACCCACCTGCCAGGACAGAGGATGCTCACTGCCATCACAGATGGCTGCCTGGACAGGCCAGGCCAATGGAGTTTGTGAGTTCAAAGGTCACTGCCCCTCCATGGAGGTGGGACTTGCAAGGGCCTGGTCTTAGAGCTGAGGATCAGATCAAATCCAGACCCTGCCTCTAGCCCCATGTCAGCCAGCTCTGCTGGAGCCCAGCCAGGCAACCCCATGGAGCCCAGGCAGGCAGCCCCATCGATCCCAGACCATGCAGGAGAGCCTTTGAAATACGGCTGCCTCTTCCTGGGCCTGTTCCCCTTGCCCCCATGGTGTCATTTCCAAATCCATTACATTCCAATGGCTTTGGGATCTTTTAATTACATGTGACGAAACCTTGCTGTTGCTGGAATTAGACGGCCTGTGTTGACGATTTATAGTCCTCAGCTTTCATGCAAGCAGGGTAATAAATAACATGAAATGGGCCCTTCAGTATTAAAAACTTCAGAGCTACCCACTAAGCCATGACAGAAAGAAAAAAAATGAAAAGAGTAAAAAAAAAAAAAATTTAAAAAAAACAGTAATGTCTGTATCTCATGTGTTTAAAATACTGTATGTGAAACAGGGAATGTCAAAAATACGGGGTGCTGAGCAATAGGCAACTCGTAAAATTTTATCTCTGGTATGAGGATTTCCAACCATATAATGAGGTCTTTCCTTTCCTTTCTTTTTTTCTTTCTTTCTTTTTTAATCCTGGGCACTTTGTGCCTGATGAGGTGACTGAGAGGGCAGAGTGGCTGGGACACCTATTTTGCTGCTGCCCCAGATTTAATGGCAGGGTAAGGACTGAAGTGGGCAGGACCTCCCAGCCCCTACACCCCATTTGGACTCTCCTTCCTGGCCCCCTTGCCCAGCCACATCCTGTTCCTCGGGTCTGCTCCTGCTGTTCTCAGTTACTGGAGGACCTTCGCATTCCTTTCCATCCAGCCCCACATTCCCACCCCCAGTGCGCGGGGCTGCTGCTGAGCCTTACTCCAAATTCACCCTGTTGTGGGCAGTCACACACTGCTTGGAGAGTTAGCAAGCTGCTGCTCACAGGCTTTATCATCTTCCAGAGTGGGCCGGGTGCGGTGGCTCATACCTGTAATCCCAGCACTTTGGGAGGCCAAGACGGGCAGATTACTTGAAGTCAGGAGTTCAACACCGACCTGGCCAACATTGTGAGACCTCATCTCTACTAAAAATACAAAAAAATTAGCCAGGTGTGGTGGAGGGCGCCTATAATCCCAGCTACTCAGGAGGCTAAGGCAGGAGAATCGCTTGAATCTGGGAAGTGGAGTTTGCAGTGAGCTGAGATCACGCCACTGAACTCCAGCCTGGACAACAGAGTGAGACTTCATCTCAAATTAATAACAATAATAATAATAATCTGCCAGGGTGGAAGCTCCCTGAGGGCTGGGGTGGGACATCTTCCCTCCCTTCTTTTCCCTCTTGCCACCTGGCACAGGGCTGGGCCTGCAGTAAAACTCTATGAAGTCTTGCCCTCGCCCTTAAGAAGCTAAGAATCAAGGATTCCATTGGGTTCCAACTCAGAGAGGCAAGAAATAGCCTGTGAAAGAGGGTGATGAGAGGGAAGGGGTGAGGCTGAAGGACAAGGAGGAATGTCTTATTTCAGCCCTTTGAGAAGAACACAAGCTCAGGATGCCTTAAGCACAAGAGCCTCCTCCCAGGGCACCATGACAAATAGGAAGCTCAGAGTCTAGGGATCTAAGCCATTCAGGAGTCAGGGATAGTTTGTGCCCCTCAACAACAGGATTCTTTGTCTTCTTGCCAGTGGTTCTGCCACTCCCATGATTCAGCCATATGTGTGTATGTGTGTGTGTGCACACGTGTGCCCCTGTGCCCATATCTGCTGCCACTACTGACAGCATGATGAGCCCCTTATCAAGATTCGACTGGCCCACTGAAATCACATGGCCCCTTTGCTCCTTTAGACAAATCTCCCAAACCAAGACCATCGCATTAGCCATCTGGCCAGCCTAGAGACAGGTTGCCTTTGAATCTGGTGCCCATCCTAGTCCATTCATCTGTCTCCAAAGAACAGGCTTACAGACGTCAGCTTTGCTGCTCAGGTAAAAGGCATGGGCCAGACCTGTGTCTGTGGAACTGAGGAAGAACAGGCTTTCTTAGGGCTTCTAGTACAGAGTAGTTCACAGAAATGGCTTAACTTGGGTTGAGCCTTAAAAGTTAGTTAAAATGTAACTAGGAAGATATCATTCTAGGCCTGAGCTAATGACTGACCTAAGAGCCAGACCCAGCCCTGCCTGCTGGACATTAGACATTCAAGCCTTATGGATAAGGCAAGATCTAGATGTTCAAATCTGAACAAATGGGAGATAATTGGTAGGAGATACAGAGGCAGGTCAGAGCCTATGAGGTCACTGCATTGTCTCTTTTCGCCTATGGCTGGGGCTTCATGAGATATAATTTCCAGATGGGCAGGTGTCAAGGACACCCTGTTTACTGTGTGTTCCCAATGCACAAAACAGGGTCTTGCACAAAATAGGTACTTGTGTGGTGAAGGAATTAGTAATGTTGAAAGACAGAGACCTCTTGCTGACAGCAGGCTAACTTCTTTGACAGCCATTACAAGGAGCATCTTTCCTAGGGGCTTGTTAGATGAAAGAGAGAGGGTTTTTTTTTTTTTTTTTTTTTTTTTTTTTTTTTTTTTGCTTTTGAGTTTCCTTGGCATCAACAATCAGAAAGTCTGGCTTAGGTTTTCAGCTCTCTTGCCTGAAATAGCCTCTAGCATTATCACAAAGGTATGTTTCCCTCCTTAATAATAACTTTCTGATCTCAATGGGCTTCTAATTCTCAGAGGGCATGGCTGAGAACTGCTATGAGTGCCTTTGGAAGGCCCAGGGGAACCCACGGTGGACGTCACGGCCAAAAGATTACTGCCGAGGACTGCATCTCAAGGAATGGGCAAGGGGAAGACAGAATCAGGCTAACTCAGCAATGCCAGTGTCTCAAGCATAAAAGGTATTCGAGTAGAATTTGGCAAAAAAATGGAGAAATGAAGAAGTTAGATTTAAGACACTGAAAGTGGTGTGCAGCAGAAAGCTTTGTGGTGATTTGTGTATTCTCTTTTCTCCGTGAAACTTCTGCAGTGGATAAACAATGATAGCATCCATAAAGATGTATCTTGTTTTATATAAGAAAAAAAGGATTCCTGAAAAATATTAAATAAAAATTGAATTTCATTTTCCCACTGACTTCCATTACTAAGTCTCAGAGGATCAGTGAAGTACTGTCTAGTAGATCTGGAAGGTACCCTAGAGGCTTAGCTCAAATCTCTTACTTCACAGATGAAGCATCTGAAACTGGGAGAGTCTATAGCAAAAGGGAGAACATGACAGTGAGGTTTCTGCAGTGGAAGGGAGCAGAGGCTGACGAGTATCCACCATTCGCTCATCTCACTACCCTCAAGGAGTTGGATGTGGCCTCTTATCCCTGGGCTGTTATTTATTTAATATTTACTATAATTTAATATTTTTATATAATCATTTTATTTTTAACTATTTACTTAGTATTTAATATTATTTAATATGCGTCTCTTTTTTTTGAGATGGAGTCTCACCTCGTTGCCCAGGCTGGAGTGCAGTGGCACAATCTTGACTCACTGTAACCTCCGCTTCCCGGGTTAAAGTGATCCTCCTGCCTCAGCCTCCCGAGTAGCTGGGATTACAGGTGCACACCACCACGCCCGGCTAGTTTTTGTATTTTTAGTAGAGATGGGGTTTCACCATGTTGGCCAGGCTGGTTTCAAACTCCTGACCTCAAGTGATCTTCCTGCCCAGCCTCCCAAAGTGCTGGGATTACAGGCATGAGCCACTGCGCCCAGCCTGTGTCTTTAAATTGACTCACATTTTTTAAAATAATAGGCTTACCCAAGATAATATCTGTGGTATCAGGGTTTTAAGGGAAAAAAAATACACACATATATATAAAATTATATTATCTTATATATTTAAATACACATCAAAATAGAAGCCAGCTAACTCAGTTGGTAGAGCATGAGACTCTTAAATACACATCAAAATAAATATATGAACACTACAATACAAACTGTTCATCCATAGATGGCCTAAATTGTCTTGCTTACCACCAGTGGTATAAGTTTGTCCTTTGGAAAGTACTGGACTAATGACCTCTAAACTCCTTTCAGTATTAAGATTCTCTGATATTTGAAAAGAGCTTGTTTTGTGAGCATTGGCTACACCTGTAACCCTTTCCCTTTTTCTCTCTACCTTCCTAAAACATGGCTCAGCTCAAACTCACCTCTCCCCCATGAAGGCATTGGTACAGAAAAAAAGGAAACATGGCAGATATGAGACTGCTATCCCTACAAAAGCCTGTTGCAGTGTTGGCCTTTGGCTGGTGTCAAGGAACTTGGATTTTAAGAGTGTTCCCACCGTTGCCTAACTGATAAGAGTGGCTCATTGTGCCTAAACTGTACAAACCACGTGGTTTATGCTAAACACCTATGTTCTGAAATGTTGGCAGGTGGAGGCAAAGGGTGGCTATGAGGCCAGCCCCAAGTAAAAATGCTGGGCACTGAGTCTCTAATGGGTTTCCCTGGTGGATAGCACTTTACACTTATCACAACCCAATGTTGGACGAATTAAGCACATCTTATGTGACTCCACTGGGAGAGGGTTCTAGAAACTTGTGCCTGATTTCCTCTGAAAGTCGCCCAATGCACCGTCCCCTTAGCTAATTTTGCTTTATATCCTTTAGCTGTAATAAATCTTAGCAATGAGTATGATAGTATACTGAGTCCTTTAAGTTCTTTAGTAAATCACTGAACTTCAGATGGTCTTGGGTACCCCACACACAGCTTTCTTCTGTGATCATCCCAGCCTCCAATTTTCTTCCTATCCTGAATCCCTTCAGCAACTTACATATACATATAATCATTTAACTCTCCTGTTTGCTTTGTCAATTAGTGTATATACAGTACTAGTAATATATAGGATCTCTCTCCCACTCATTAAGTGTCTATATAACCAGGGACTTTTTCTTATACAACTTTCAATTGCATTCTTGTTTGTTCCTGATGTTGTCTTGTTCATAGTAATCATTCTAAGTTTCTTTATAAAAAACGACACAAAAACATCAAACTTTTTGGATGAAATATGTGGTTATTTTAAACATTTAGAAAATACAAAGAAGCCAAAGAAAAAAACAATTAAAATCACCCATGATGCCTTACCCAGGAATAACCATCTTCACTACCCTTGGTTGTATATCCTTTTAGTCATCTTGGTATCCATAAATAGCTTTTATAAAAATGATATTATGATTTTTACTAGTTACCTTTTTAAATTTAACATATTATAAATATGTATTCATGTGATTATATATATATTTATCAATAATGTCTTTTTTTTTTTTTTTTTTTTTTTGAGACGGAGTTTCATTCTTGTTGCCCAGGCTGGAGTGCAGTGGCACAATCGCGGCTCACTGCAACCTCCGCCCCATGGGTTCAAGTGATTCTCCTGCCTCAGGCTCCCAAGTAACCGGGATTACAGGCATGCAACACCATGCCCGGCTAATTTTGTGTTTTTAGTATATAGATGGGATTTCTCCATGTTGGTCAGGCTGGTCTCGAACTCCCGACCTCAGGTGATCTGCCCGCCTCGGCCTCCCAAAGTGCTGGGATTATAGGCATGAGCCACCATGCCTGGCCAATAATGTCATTTTAATGGTTACGTGATAATTTGTTATATTATGTATCCCAAACTTTCAAGCTAAACACCATCTGCGGACATGCTTTGTTTGTGTAGCATAGCATTAGCCTGCCCAGTGGTTATAAATAATATTTTAGAATTAAAGTCAATATTTTAAGCTTTTATTTTAAAAATGGTAACAGCACATCCCCATCGGGCCACATAGGTGGAGCTGGATGGAAGCTGCTGGTGCTGTCTTTTTGCTGTAGTCCCTCCCATTCTCTGTGGCCTCCATAAAACTCAGGCTGAGGGTCCGTTGCTATTTATCATGCTCTTGGGCTGATTTTCTTTTGCTACAGTCAAGATGGAAGTGAAATAGTTCTTGTCCTCATATGTCTATCAAAATAGAAGAGAACATATGTCTGCAGCCCCCAAACTGTGTACCAAAGAACCCCAGGCTCCCACAGGAAAACCACAAGGACAGTTTAGGATTTTTATAATTATCAAGAAACACGCCATGATATTCAGTATTGTCAGACACCATGCAGACTAGCAGCTTGAGTGAGCTCAGCATTTTAACAGTAGATCATGCTACACTTGGTATCATCACATCTTTGGAAAGCTGGGTTTTCATTGGTCACTGTGTTAAAAAGCAAGTACCATGGGAAAATCATCATCAAACAGGAAACAAAGGTAGAGGTGTCCATTCTGACTCTAGTTTAATTGTGCGATGCTCAATAGGTACACATATCCCATTAGTAAATATATTTAAGAATGAGATTTATATATTTTTTCTTTCAAATTATGTGTAATATTTTTTAAACAGCTATTAAGTTGTTAGGACATAAGTATTCCTCGTTTATTTGCACTCATATACTTAATAAATCTAACTATGAAGCATTTATTTTTTCCTAGAAATGCTATAAAACTATTACTGAGAGATTTTGGGAACCTTTTGTATATTTCCAGTGGAACTAAAGACACTGCTGACTGCCCTCGTTCCTGCCTCACTGGTCTCAGCCCACATATCCACTGTGTCATTGCAGCTTATGATGCCTGTGTTAGATACATGTGTTATAACCAGTCTGTCCCTATCCCAGCAACATGCCTATTACTTTTGCTATTCAATAAACAAAGAGGAGCATCTTCAGAGCTAATATTCCCTACATTCAGGATTTTATATCCTTAGAACGAACTCCTAGAAGAATTGCTGAGAGAAGTTATTCAAACATTTAAGGCTTTCAAAAATTATTTCTGAATTGATTCAGCTTCATCTGAGACTCCTAAAGACAGAGCAATCTGCCTGACACACAGTGATGCTGAATTCCGTGTGGAACTGAGTTGAATCGATGCAAACGAAATTGAATCTCTAGAGACACTGAGCTATGCTTTTACCTCTCTTTGTCTGAAGCTGCCTCTGTTTCTAACACAGACCCTATAATCAGTGATCAGCATTACTGGAGCAGGAGAGCCCTAGCTATGGAAAGGAAGCCTGTGGGCAATTCTTTCACAAAAAGTGTATCTTAGCCCTGAAAGGTCAAAGAGCTTAATAGTCAAAGGATTGGTTTCGAAGCCAGACTGATTTCAAATCTATCACTCACTAGTTGTTAACCTTGGGCATTTTACTTAAACTTCTGTGCCTCAATTTCCTCATCTGTAAAATGGGTATACTAATAGGACCTACCTCATGAGGTTGTAATGCAGAAAAAAATATATATACACACATTGCACATTGCCAGGCAAATACTAAGTTCTCAATGGGAGCTATTCATTTTATTTGTTCTCTTGGATGCTTTTAGATGTCCCTAAAGCAAGGTCCACCTTGATTTTCATTCCGTCCTATGGGCTGGCTACTCTTGCCACTGTTGGAAGGCATAGGAAACACATAATCAAACCATGCCCAGCCTTCTCAACCCAGGGACTAATCTATGGTCCCCGGACCCTCTTGAGCCAACCTGAGCAGAGAGCACTTTTTAAACTCCTTTCTGATTAGGGCATGGGCTAATCAGACGGTCCAGAGCTCCTTCATGTCCCAGGTAGCAGTAGCTACCAGACCAACCAGTTCTTGTAGTTATGAAACCAAGAATTTTGCTATCTGAGCTAAACAAAAGGAAAAAAAAAGAAAAACTTTTATTGATTTTGGATTAAGAGGCATTATGATGTTTAGAAACCCATTACTTTGAACACCAGAGAACCTCATTCCCACCTTTAACAAGTCCTCTCAGGGAAAATTTTTTCAGGGTCATTTAAAGCCTGACATTGTGCCCCTGAAATGCCCTGTGTCCAAGCCCTTTCCCTCCAATGCCCTTCCAGTCTGTCTTACCCTGCAGCAGTTCCTCCTCTGACTCTTAGAATATCTTCAGCCAAGAGAGCCGCAGAACAGGGAGCAGGCCACTCTGGAATAAACTAAGCCAGAGCATAGGAGTGCCCACAGCCCCACTGATGCATGAGCTTCACTGCCTATGTTGGAACTGACGGAACTCTTAGCTTGGGACCTGGGAACTGTATCTGAGTCCCGGCCAGCCCCTTGTGGGCCTTCTGATGACCGCCTTGTGATCTTGGGCTCATTTAGTCTCCTTGACCCTTGGTCTGCTCACCTTTAAAATGGGAATGATAATGTCTAGGAGATGATGAAATGAGATGATCTTCATGAAGGTGGCTGGTAAAATACTTACATAACTGTAAGGAATTGTAGTTAAGAAATGAAGTTGAAGCCCAGTATTGATCTGGCCCAGGAAGACGTTTTTATAGAAAGAGACTTTGGAGAACAGAAGGGCTGCACAGCAGACAGATAATGAGAAAGTCTATGAGGGCCCAAAGAGCAAAAGGGTTGGCCTGGGGTGATCAGAGGAGGGTAAGACTGAAAGGTGGGCAGCGTCGGCTAGGAGAATGGGTTCAAATAGGACTTTGTAGCCCAGGACTTGGAGTCTTTCCCAAGAAATCAATTACTCAAAACATTCCAAGGGCCCAGCCTGGTGCCAGCTTGATTTCTGATGTCGGGAAACTCAGGAATCTGGTTATGGGAGGCAGGAGTCAAAACAAGAGAATGACCCATGATAGCCGTGAAGTGAATGTAGGGACTGTTGTCCAGTGGAAGTTCTTCAAAAGGAAACAGGAAAGCAGGCCTGCCCTGTGATGTCATCCTGGGCTTAGGCTAAGAATGGAGTTTGGAGTGAGGGCCTGAGGCTACCAGAAAGACACTTTGTGGCATCAGCTTTTCCATTAGCACAGGAAGAAGACTTCCTTCAGTGAGGAAGAAGACCCTGAGAGGATGGACCACAGGAAAAAAATGATTTTTGATTCGGGGAAAAGAGTAGTAGAGGAACTTGATTAAATAATCACAAATTTGGCAGGGCATGGTGTTTCACACCTATAATCCCAACACTTTGGGAGGCTGAAGCAGGTGGATTACTTGAGTGCACGAGTTTGAGACCAGGCTGGGCAACAAAGTGAGACCCTGTCTCTACAAAAAATAAAAAAATTAGCCATGCGTGGTGACATGCACCTGTGGTCCCAGCTACTCAGGGGGCTGATGTGGGATGATTGCTTGAACCCAGGTGTTTGAGGCTGCAGTGATCTATCATCATGCCACTGCACTCCAGCCTGGGCAATGGAATGAGATCCTGAAAACAAAAAATAAGAATCACATAGTTTACAGCTACCCGGGATCAGAGTTCATCCCTCCCCAACTCACTGCCCTTGCTGTATACAAGCTGAAGTTTACACAGGTGATGTCACTTAACCTGTAGCTGGAAGGCAGATCTCCAGCCTTTGGTGATCTTTTGACCCCTTGATGGTAATCTAGATGCAGCCAAGTGTAGGACTGTGGGGACAGGACTGGATGGCATGTTGGAGCATCTGCAGCAGGTATTGTAAAGATCCTGTGCACCTAGATGAAGGTAAAAGGGACCCCAGAGAGTAGACCAAGAGAGGCATTTAGGATTAGTCTCACAATATTGCCGAAGGCTAGCGCCTCCTCCATCCTCCTTCCTATGCTGCCAGTTCCCCTTTCTTCACAGTCAGATATGGATATGCGATGCTGCTCGAATAGAAGTAAAATGGACAAAGGACTGGCAATGTGACCACAAGGGGCCTCACCATTCCCTAGAGAGGAGTAGTTCATGAAGTAGGAATTTGGCTTTTGGTCCATCAATGCTCTGCCTTCGGTGGATTCCTGGAGGCAGTAAACTGGGGTGCCCCAAAAGAAGGACTACGATGTGCTGGGCTCACAATTTATGCAAACAACTGATATTCAGATGTGCTACCAGCATGGCAGGGCCAGAGCCAGCCAAGCTGTAGAAAGCATTTGGGAGGAAGGATGGAGCAGCTGCCTTCTCAAATCCTGAGCCCCACCTCAGTGCAGCCCCAGCTCTGCCTTCCCCAGACAGGAGACAGCTTGTTCAAGCGCACTTGTGAACGTGAAAAGGGAGAGGGAGGGAAGCAGGGGGGAAGAAATCCGTTCTACCTCACCGCTTTCCACCTCTGCCCCAGTGGAGTGCAGGTAATTTATTATACCTAAAGAGCAAATGCCGCCTTATGTGGAGGCAAAAATGCTAGTCGGATGCTACGGCAAGTTGCCTTGGGAGACCAAGGGACCTAGTGAAGTTTTGCAGCCTGGCAAGGGAGTCTGCAAGAGGAAGGAGTGACTGGCTCCTTCCATCAGAGTAATAAGCTCTTGTGTTTGTGCTGAGTTTCTTGTGTTTTGAGGTTTTCTTACATGTATGGTTATACTATGAGCCTCATAACCATCCAGTACAGTAGATGGCTCTAGTGTTATTTTCCCTATTTTTTAGGTGACAAGACTGAGGCCTAAAGGAGTTTTAAAAATTGACCAAAGTCATGAAGGTAATAGAAGGATATATCTCCCAATTCCTAGTTTCCAAATGTTTTTCCATGTCTTATTTTTTTTTTTTTTTAAAGAGCATGTAACTGGACTAAGGGCAATGAGGAACTTAAGAGGTGTCAACTACATCAAGCTGCATAGAGAGATGGAAATGAACAATATAAGATAAATCAAAGGAAGTCCTTCTTCATGTAGAAGAGGAATAACTCACAGACCTCATTACCAAAGAAAAGTTTTCATTAATAAATGTACCCATTACAATTTGAACAATGACTGAGGAAGCTTGGGGTGGGAGTCTCTTGCCAAGCAAGTTGGGGCTCCCTTCCTCACCCTCCTGCTTTCCAGGCTGACCTCTCAGCATCTCCCATGTCTCTTTTGCCCTAGCCACACAGAACCATGGCTGCTCCCTGAACCCCCCAGTTCTTCCCACTTCCATGCCCTTGTGCATCCTCTTCCTGAACCCTCAAGTTCAAATATCAAAATTTGGAAATCCCATATTGAGTTAATTGCTCCCTCATCTGAAATCACTTTGAAGTGCTCACAGTCTGTCTCCTCCACTAGACTGTGAGCTCTCTGAAGGTAGGGAGTGTGGCGTATTCATCCCTGAACCCCAGAACCTGCCTGTGTGCCTGACACTTATCAGGATCCTAACAGATAAATGAATGGCTCAATCACCATTACCACCTTCATTTTATCAGAGTCATTTATTGAGCCCCTCATGGCTCTCGACAGAGAGTGTGCACTATACTGAATTCTGGCAATTTCATTGACATTATAAGAATCCAAGTGTGGTGAAAATCTGAGCTGTTTAAGGCTGGATCTGAGGAGTCTTGGAGGAAAATAAGGGATTAGAGGACATTCCAGGACACTATAGAAGGTTTCCTTCTGGGACAGGTCCTGTGATGACTGCAAGATCAACATAGTCCCAGTTGTCACAGAGCTGAGAGATACAGTGCCAACACAGGTGAGGCATATAGAAGAAAATTAAGGACTAAGAGCTACGGAACTGACTTATTCCTGCTGTAGTGACTTCAGAGAAGAGAGGGCTAGAATAATCAGGAAGGCTTCATGGAGGAGGTGACATGAGCTGGGCTGTGAATTTCATTTAGATACAGAAAGATAGATGTCCCTAGAGTAAGGAAAAACATGGGCCTAGAACCAATAATTAATCAATATGGCTTAGAACAAGCAATGAGTAGCCCTAAGTTCATTCTGTACTCTAAGACAAGTTCTGCTACAGGCAGGAAAGACATGAAGAAATACCTTCCTTTGCACCAAGACACTATTTTTTTTAATATGGGGAATTTTAAAAAAAAGAACTCCAGATGGATTTTAAACACAGTGGGGAACTGGGCGGTGTGATGGCAGATGGCTATTTCAGCTGCACATGGGTAAAAATAATTCCAACTCCCCAATACCCAGGACTGCTCTGAACTTGTGAAAACCTTTTAAGGAAAAGCTGCAGTGTGATGCTCAAAGCGCAGAGCTGCAGCAGACTGGGGGCCAAGGGCTTGGAACTCACCAATAAGAAAACAGCTACCGCTGTTGGGACAACAGAACTCAACCCATTTGGGGAGGCTCCCTTCTGACCAGGTTCTGTCTGGGCCGGCCCTCGATGTCAGTCCAGGCTCTCTGGCATGTCTTCCTCTATGTTGGGAGAAAGGGGAAGTGAGATGTGTCAACATGAGGGCTATCAAGTAGGGAGGCTGTAAGATGAAGGCATGGGGAGCAGGAAATGTACAGAAGGGAAGAGTAGTGAGTGCATGCTGTGGGAGGGAAGGTTGGCCCAGAGGAGGGCAGGGCAGTGACTGTGAAAGGTAGCACTTCTGCATGTCTAGTGGCTACAAATGTTGATACACTGGCTTCACAGTGGAAAGCTGGTCTCATCCACGTTTACTGTCGTCTGCACCACATCCCAGAGTTGGAAGGGGAGACTTATGTGGAAATTCCCTTTGTCCATCTGAATGCCACCTTCTGGAACACTGATCCTCAGCTGATATTGCCATAAGTACTATTGCATAGTATTCATAAGAGTTTAAAGTTAATTTGCATCTCACATTCCTTTTCATAATAGAATCACTTAGATTTTGAGATTTTCTTAACAAACCCTTCTATTTTGTAGCTTTAGAAATAAGACCCAGAGAAGTGAAATAACTAACTTTTTAGTAGCAGATCCGTGACCCATACAGGGCTCTTGTCCATATATGTCCTTAATTATTAGCCCACCCTTCCTTGGCGTTGAAAGATACAAGGGACACAGGAGAATGAAATGGGCCCAAGAAAACTCTCCATGCAGCTTGCATTAGGGCAGAAAGGACAACAAGGGACATGCTCCATGTGATAGATGAGGTGCCATGAGTTTGAGTGACTGAGCCTCAGTCCTCTGACTCCCATGGCCCGCATAGCAGCAAGGAGAAGGGGAATGCAGCTGGGCCCTGCCAGCCCCAGGCTCCTTCTCTCCCCCACCCCCTGCATTTTCTTTGTGTGAGTTTCCCTTCTCCTTTCTTGCTCTCCCACCCCCCAACCCCCGTGTCCTCAAGCTGGGACACTCATTCATTTCACAAATACCGACTTAGCCCACACTACAATGCAGCCATAGACACCTTGGACAAAGTACCTGTTCTCACAGAGCTGATGTTCTGGTGGGAAAATACAAACAAAAACAAATAACCATGAAGTTATGTGGTGCTGGGTGTGTGTGGAAAAACAAAATGGATGAGGGAGGAAGAGTGTCATGGCAGGCAGTGGTTAGACAAAGAGGAGCAGAGACCTGGAAAGGGGGAAGGAGACCAGCTATCTGAAGACATAGAACAGGTGTGTGATGGGCAGAGGGTAGCAGCCAGTGCAAAAGACGTGAGATGGGCACTTGCCCAGCATGTTTGAGGAACAGCAGGGATCTGCAGAGCTGGGGGAAAGAAAGCAAAGGGGAGGACAACAGATCAGCCCAGAGCATGAGGCCATGGCAAAGATTTGGCTTTAGCTCAGGGTGAGATAGCAGCCATGGGAGGGTTCAATTTAGGAGAACCTAATATTTTAAAAGGATCATCCTGGCTGCAGTGTTGGCTAGGGATAGAAGAAAGGAGAATGTGCTCAGGCTAAGGTAGCAATGAGGTGAGAGATGATGGTGACCTGGGCCATCAGATCTACCCAGGTGACAGGGTAGATCAGGGGCTCCCAAATTTCCCAGCTCAAAAAACCCTGTTTGTCATTTAATAACCTTACAAACACTTCCCAGCCTAATAACAGTTACCATTTTGGCATTTGTGGATTGGGCAAACACTTGATGTCCACATTTCTAAACAAATCCACAATGTTCATAGCCCAACAGGGCTTCCATACATTTGAAAAAGAATTGTACATACAAATAGTTGATTTTCAGGCCCCCTATGTCACTGTGGCCCCAAAGTAGGCCACTGAAGCTTTGCTTCCCTCACTTTTCCCATTCCCTTGACCAGCCTAAGCCCTGATTCCTCCAACCTCTCTGCTAGAAGGGGCTTAATCAGCTTAAGTGGGCAATAGTGTTGATGGGTGAGGATGACAACTGAGCAGGGATTCCTAACTTAGCATTGATCCATAGTTGAGATTTGAAGAGTCAAGAACAGCTGGAGATTGTAAGCAAAATGCCTGTGAGTGGGGTGAGGGTGTGCTGTATGAGGTCAACTTTCATTAGATTCTCGAGGGCCCTTTACTAAGAAAAAAAGGGGAGAAGGGCAAGAACCACAAGTTTAATGAGTTATTCCTCCCAAATATTATGTATGTTTTAGCAAGGACCTTCAACGCTTAACCCCAAATAGTGAGTGCCAGATGTGGGAAGGACAGACATTTCAAAACCATAAGGCTTCAGTTGGCCCTAAGCAGAAAGGGACCCACACAATCTATAGCTAGAACATAACATTTCTGACTCCAGAAGACAGCTTTCTTTCCCTCCTAAAGTCAGTCTTGGACCCTGCCTATAACACGCTCAATAAGAATTTGTGGAATGAAAAAAACGCCATACAAGGGTTCCCATCTGAGAAACAACAGAAAGGCAATGGTGTATGCTGTGCTGCAAGATCATTCCAAATGAACTCATGTATTCGGAGCAAAACTAAATAAATAAAAAAGCCAAAGGCTGTATGCTACTCTTGAATAATCATGCCTGATTTGAAGGTCAAGAGCATTACAATGCCCCACTTCACAGAGGTGCATGAAGGCCGAAGCTTGCGGTATGGTAGAAGAATTTGCAGGGTATAATTATGCACCCCTTCAACATCCCCACTGGCTTCCACGTGATATGAGACAATGTGTCACAGTCCCATACAGTCAAAGCAGTAATTTACAAGAGTCAGCAATTCCATGGGGCAGGTAGGCCATATTTCAAAACTGGAAAGGGAGTTGGGGGGAAGAAGGGGGAAAGCAACCGATCAATTTACAAAGATCCTGTTTCTCTGCCACTCTGTTGACCTTTCAGGCAAGACCTAATGCCAATTAGCTCAGTTATAAAGTCCATAATTCTTCTGGGGAAGGCCATGGGTAGCACATGATCATTTTACAACGTTTGCCCTAATTTGCAGCCCCCAAACATGGACTCCTGGGGCTGCAAGGTGGGGGTGGAGGGAATTTGTTGGCAAGCAACGGGAGCAGCTGGAAGGGATCACAGAGCACAATTACTGTCTGCGCATGGCCACATCTGGAAAACAGCTCCGTGCTGGCTTTAAAACAGCATTAATAAAGAATGGAACCTTGTGCTGGGAAGGATGGGGGTGTGGGGGGGAATAAGGAGGGCCGCCCTTCTGCCCAACATGGTGGGGATAAAACGACAACAAAGGAAACAGCAGGCAGGGTATAAGACCAGTTCCAAGGAGAAGAGGGTGTTGACAAGAGAGGAGCAGCAGATATGCTGCTACTTTAGGGAAAGATCTCTAAACCCCCTCATTTCTTGCCATCTTCAAACCTGGGCATCCATGCAGGGCTGATCCTTTTTATATTAGTTATGCAGACATTTGTCTGTAATGTGGGATTTTAGTAAGACTATTCCCCATCAGTACCAAAATTCTACCACTCAGTCCTTTAGTCAGAGAGTTCCTTCCCTTGAGATGGATTTGAAACTGCAAATGTACCTGTTGCCTTTAGGATACCAGGGATGTAGTAGTTGCTCAATAAATATTTGTTGACTAGAACCAAATTGAATGAGCTGAATAAGTTATTTTGTGGCTGTGACCAAGTTAATTCCTATCTCTGGTTTCTCAGCTATAAGGGTTCCAGGAGACCAGTGATTCTCAGTTGTGAGGGCAGAGGTACAAGGTAGCATACCCTCATAAGGAGTATATCACAATTCCAAGGGGAGGGGAGAAGGGAGCATTCATGGTTTTAATAAGAACATTCAATGGTATAATATAGTTTTATACACATGGTCCCTGACTTAACAATGGTTTGACTTATGATTTTTCAACTTTCTGATGGTATAAAAGTGATACACACTCAGTACACTCTTTGACTTAAGATGGGATACATCTAGATAAACCCATGGTACATTGAAAATATCATAAGTCAAAAATATAAGTTGGGGAGCAGCTGTATTTGAAAACCAAAGAGTCTACCTGTGACTTCCTTAATACAATCTACAGAAAAAAAGCTCAACAGACTCTTCATGGCTGATGAGGATTCATACATAAACCAATCTTAGAATTCAAAGTGGACACTTCCCATCCCACCAGAAATCAGGGCATCTCTGGATCTCCAAGGCAAAGATAGGAATTTTTTTTATTATGAATCAAAAAATGCTTAGACACTCTGAGTGGATGTATTTGAGGCCTCCAGCTTGAGTTTTCTCCATTTGGCTGCTTAATGTTCCCTCATGGAGACAGATCAGCTACTTGGGTCGCCAAGGGCTGGGTAACATTAAAGAAACAGCAAGGAAAAATTACAAAGAAAACAGGGATTCTGGGGGTGTAAACAGACTTCACTCACCTTGCCCTTGTGCCAGACTGCCTGCCCAATTCCACATCGTTGGCATTGCATTGGAGTGTGCAGGGTCCAGCTCATTGTCTTAGTTCATCTGGGCTGCTATAACAAATTACCATAGACTGGGTGGCTTATAAACAACAGACATTTATTTCTCACAATTCTGAAAGCTGGAAGTCCAAAATCGGGGTGCCAGCATGGTCAGGTTCTAGTGAGGGCCCTCTTCTGGGTTGCAGACTGCCATTTTCTCCTCGTTACATGCTCATGTGGTGAAAGGGGCAAAGACACTTCCAAAGTCCCTCTCATAAGGACAGTCATTGCATTCATGAGTGCTTTCCTTCGTTACTGAATCACCTCCTAGTACCATCACCTTGAAAGTTGGGATTTCAACATATAAATTTTGGGGAAACACAACATGCAGACCACAGAAACCACCTTATCATATATTTTAGTGTTTTACCCTGCAGGTCTATGGTGTGGCCTCCTGAAAACCCCAGATGCCACACCACAGACCTGAAGACATGGAAGGAATCTTATCAAACCCTACCCATAAGGCAAAAATTCTCTTATCAGCATCCCTGACAAGTCTTCCTTTATGCCTTGTGTAGATACCTCCAGTAGCGCATAGAAACTAAGACCTTCAAGGAGGTCTGGGTTCTCGGCCTACTTCAGACACTTACCAGCTAATTGAGCATGAGCAATTTATTTAATCTCTCTATGTCTTGACTTCCCTTTCTGTAAAATGAAGATAATAGTAGTTAAATCATGGGATTCGTGTGAAGATTAAATGAGACAATATATATTGTGATTTCCCTGCTGCTTAAAATTCTGTATTTATATTTACACAATACAATTTATATTTATCTACCTATGACATTGTATGCAATCTGTATATAGCTAAATCCACAGATGTGTTGACTGTGCCTGCCAAAAATGATGTAGGCAGTCGATTCCAATATGGAGCTCCCATAGGGGTACATGGTTTTGACTTTCCCACTCCTGAGACACACCACTCTTACACTGTTATTGCCAAAAACTTTATGCATATAAGAAATCTTTAGAATACACCCACCAAAAGAAGGCATTCCCACATGTCCCAAATAAACCCAAAGTAACAGATCTGCAAATCTGAGTCCAACCAGGTTTATGCTACAGTGAAATATAGCATCACTCCCCGCATAGGGTAAGTGTTCAAGAAAGAGTAGCCAATGCTAGCACAGCCAGCACCTTTGCTTGTTGTACAGTTCTCAGGTATTTGGAAGCCAATATCCTTTGCATTCTTAGTTTTGCTGCCATGGAAGCACTGGCCACAGTGTTGACCCTCGACCAGTCACAGTTCAATAGACATTTGACTGCTGCAGCTTTGTAACCTGCTTCATTCTCACCCCATCATCTCATGCCATGCTACCTGTTTCCCATTCTCTAACTGTTTCTGCAATAGGTTCCCTCTAGTCCCTGCCATGCTGAGCTTGATGTCCTCAGTCGCCAATGCGTCTCTTTGAAAGCAGTGCCTAACATGCTCAAGCCAGGCTGCCAGGCTCCATTAATGTGTGTAAGTTGCATTTATTTTCCTGGCATCCTGTCACACTGTAGGCTCAGGTTCTGTGGCTATGTGCTCTTGAACTTCCTAAGGAAAAGGTGTTTGGAAATAGCCTCGAGCAGCTGGGTCTGACTCACATTCTCCTCTCACCTCCCAAAAATGTCCCCAAATGCTGCCTCTTTCAGGGTCCCTATTCTCAGCTTCTCTGGAGTTGGATGACGGCCATGAGAAGTTTTTCCCTTCCTAAGACAATGTCAGAGGCCCCATATATTGGGCCTGGAGTTTGTGAGTTAGGCATCCCCTCCTAGTGTGGTCTTCTTCCCTTATTTTGCCTGTTCTGCCTGGCAAGTGCTTTCTCATTGTCCTTGCAAGGAGCCTAGCCATAGTTTCTTGCCCATTTAATTAATCCTTCCTAGAGACCATTCACACCCTAAAGCAGGTTAGGCACTTAGGAGAGACCCTTCCTAGACTGGCATCAGTATAGACCCATGAGGGTGTCCTCCCTTTAACTCCTGATGAATTCACCCCATACCTGAGGATTGGGGCATTTCCATAAGTGACACACCCAGGATGTCCACTCAAAGACACTCAGAAACCACTTCAGGTATAAATACCTGGCATTATTGAGGGCCTGCCAAGCTGTCTGCCAGGTAGCCTCTCAGATCATTCCAATTCCTGGTCCTTCATCTACCTTTCTTCTCCACCTCCTATAGTCCCTCCTTTCCAGCTACTCTCTCAAGTCACTTTCTCCTAACACCCTTGGCTCTTGATTTGGTACCTTTCTCTCTCCTTTGTCCTTCCAAATCCCATCTGTCCTCTAAAGCTCAGTTCAAATGCTGTCTCCTTATTGTAGACCCCTAAGGACACCCACTTGAAGCCAGTTCAGTCTTTCTGGAAAGCATCACTTATGTCACTAGTACGACCCTGCCTTATACAGTATTAATCTGTGAGTCTGGCTCATCACACTCACCCCAGCTAAATAGTAAGCACTGGAGCAGTAGACACTGTACAGAGAAGATGGAAATGAGAGAGGAATGGCACTGGTAAGGAGGGCCATGTGGGAGCTCATACTGGACTGTGAGTTTGTGTCCCAGGAGTGGAAGGGAAGTGGTCAGAAACTGAGTGTAGAGCAGAGAAGAAACCACAAAAGCAGCATCACCACAGGTGTTGTGTTTTCTGTAGGAAATAATCATGAGTTTTAGTCTCACTGGGGTGGATTAGAAACTATGGAAGTGTGAGCCAAAGTCAGGTTGGGTCACCTGTTAGTGCTTGCACCTTGGAGAGCATGAGTTTGAATTCGCCACAAGTGTCCATTTGACCATAGATACCAAGGGACAAAGGATTATTTGGTCACCAGGGTTCTATCTTTCCAAGAGATAGAGATAGAATCCTTTGAGTTTCTTTTTTTTTGAGACGGAGTCTCACTCTGTCGCCAGGCTGGAGTGCAGTGACACGATCTCGGCTCACTGCAATCTCCGCCTCCTGGGTTCAATCGATTCCTCTGCCTCAGCCTCCAGAGTAGCTGGGACTACAGGTGTGCACCACCACACCTGGCTAATTTTTTGTATTTTAGTAGAGACGGGGTTTCACCATGTTGGCCAGGTTGGTCTCAATCTCCTGGCCTCGTGGTCCGCCCGCCTCGGCCTCCTAAAGTGCTGTGATTACAAGCATGAGCCACTGCACCTGGCCCCTTTGAGTTTCTTATGTGTCCAGCATTGTGCTAGGTGGATTAGAGGGGGTTATAGGCTAAACTCAATCAGTTCTCTCAGGGGGCTCATAGTATAAAAGAAAAGATGAGATACGTAAGCAGCCACAATGTTAGTCAGAGAATGCTAAAAAGTCAAACAAAGGAAAGAGGCACTGAGCATTTGGGGAGGTTAGAAATGGAAGAGTGGTGAAGATCAAGAATTGTCATTGAAGTTGAACCCCTTAATCCTGTGGGAAGAAGGTGAGATTTGAGTTGGGCTCTGATGAGATGGTAGAGTTGGCTAGGAAAAAAGGAACAAGATGGCACGTTAAAATGGGTTAGTGTGTTCTGCTCACTCAGCAGAAAGGAGGCTTGTACAAGACAGCCAAAGTAGGAGAGATCACCAGAAATACCATCTGGCCACTTTGTGGGAGGTTCCAGTGTCCAAATAGGATGTTCAGACTTTGTCTCCCAGAAAAAATGGGAAATTAGGTGTCTCAGGTGGACAAAGCCCTGTGGTATAAAATCCATATGGTCCTCCCACTCTCCTCCAAAATATTTACAACTTGGATTTGTACCAAAGCCTTCTCTAATCACCTTCATTGTTGTCACCTTATTTTCTAAACATGTGGTTATGGTGCTCTGGTGCCATTGGCTAAACTCAGTAGAGACTAGATTACTAACATCCAAGAGACTGCTTTGTTTTCCCTGTCCTCCTTGGGGTGCACCCTACTGTGGCCTCCAGCTGTAGTGCCAGAACCCACAGGATCCACCATTAGCTGAAAGTACCAGGTTTCAGCCCAAAGGCTGTTCCCTAGGGAAGAGAATGTTTGACCCAAGGTGTCTGGCCTTCAGGAGATAAGGGATCACCACATCAAGGTCATGGAGCAGAGGCTTCCTGGGTGTGGCCCAAGTCCCTATTAAATGTCCTCTGCCTACACGTTGCCCTGGACCTCTGGACCCACCTATGAACATATGCCCCCTCCCAGGGAGCTCACTGCTTCATCGTCATCTGCCTATTCATTCTGACTGGCCTGCATTTGTCTGGCATCTACTGCATTAGCCAGGGCAATAGCATATATTTGGATAGCACCCAGTGGTTGTTAAACACTTGTACCTATTTTATTCATTAAAACCTTAGCAGACCAGCCAAGGTGTATTATCTCTTTTCTAAAAATAAGGAACCTGAGTCTTAGAGAGGCTAAATAGCTTTGTCTAAGGCCAAAAGGTCAGTAACTGACCATTGCTCCACCACAGATGAAGACCCCATCTCTACCCCCAGAATCTCCTCTCCATCCTGGACTTTCCCACTGCCACCTCCTTTTTATCCATATACCTCAGGGATTTAGCCCCTTTTTGGCCCTCCTTCTCAGCCATGGTCTCCAACCCTCTCAACAGAGCCTTCTACTCCTCTAGGATAGGCTGAGGAATAGGAAGTTGATTCCAGATATCTCCCCTACCTGCCCAGCTGCCTCTGAGACAAACAATCCCCTTGCATTCTAAGGGAACTTATATGAAGCCCCTATGGAGGAATGAAAAGTGATAACAAAAATAAGAAACACAGGAAGCCATAAAGTTTAAAGCAATGCAAGAAACCCTGGCTAGAGTTAGCCTTGATCTTCTCTGAAATGAAAATAAAATTCAGCCCCTTCCCCAACAGCTCATTGTTGGAGCCCCCATACCCTCACCTCTTTCATGTCCTGGGGTTGACTTCCTGCTTGTCCCCACCTCTCTCCAGGAAGGGTCCCTTTTACCCCAACTCTAGAAATTCTAGCCTCAGAAGAGGCCAATGTGCTATCCTCATTGGGCTCCTAGAGGAAGACCAAATTAAACACTGCTATTCTCTTCTCTTCTGCTTAACACGGAAAAAGTCAACTTAGGTCATTCCCTGACAGAGAGATACAAAGATAAGGCATTGTCCCTGTCACCAAGATATAAGCAACAGCACAGGATACTGTGTGGTGAAAGACAAAATAAGCAGTAGAGATAAGATTTCTGAGGACTGGAGGGAGGATATGAGGAGTGAGGGATGAGCCACGGGAGGCCACTGTCACCAGCCACAGTGGCCTGGACCAGGCAGAAGAGTCTTATGGTTGAGTATGTGCCATAACAGCTGTAGGGAGGACATTCTGGGTAGGAGGGTGAATGAAGGCAACGTGCCTGTCGGGGAGCCAGCTGAAAATCCATCCTGTGGGCAGAAGAAGGCCTTGGGACTTTGCTCAGTGGTCATGCTTCCCTCTTCCTGTTCCCTATAGTCCCACTTAGTCTGGGGAAGCTCTCTGCAAGAGAGTGACAGCAAAACAAGCAGTTTGTCTGCTGCTAGGGCTGCGGAACCCAGGCCAGGTGTTCCAGAGGCCACGTTCCTGGCCTGGCTGCAGCTCACTGCAAATGAGGCTGGGAAAGGGTGTCCAGTCTTATGCCAGGAGGAGGGGCAGCCCGTTGGGTGGCTATCATGCCTGACTCTACTTCACAAACACCTATGTACTCACCAAGCAGAAATAGTGAATGTTAACCTTCTCTTATTTGCTTCATATTTTTTAATAAAAATGAAAAATATTCAGAAGGAATTAAAAACTCTTAGGTCCCACTCCCACTCCCCTCCCTCCCTCTCCAGCAACAACCCTATTATGAATTGTACATATTTCTTTTTCATCCGTGTGTTCTCAAATGGATATATTCATATGGATCTCTAAAACACTATATAGTATTTGTCGATATGGCACTGAATTTACATAATTGTATCTTAACATTATTCTGCAACTTGTCTTTTTCACTCAACATTTCTATTTGGGGATCTATATAGATTGATGATTTGACTCCATTTTCTTTATTTAACTGCTCTATGGCAAGTCATCATATTCCCTAATTTCTTTATCCATGCCTTCATGGATGGACATTTAGCTCAGGTATATATTTTTTTTAAGCAAACAATGCTGCATTGAAATTCCTGTGCCTATTTCCTGAGGCACCCAGTTCTCTCTCCTGTTGTAGAGAAAATGTTGAGACTCCCCGTTCCAGTTCAAATGCAATTAGTACACCTCCATCGGGTGCACAACACCAAACTAAATACACTGAATCATTCTAAGAGATGCATTCAGAAGAGTTCCTCCCTTTAAGGAGCTTACAGTCTAGCAGAACAGATAAGCATGTTGTGAATCTACAAGTTAAAAGCTCTAGGACAGTGCCCAGTCTATACGTAATTAAAAGATAATGTCAGTTGACCTGATAGAGAAGAGCTGAAGGTAGACCAAGTAAGAGTGAAATCTACATGGATATGGGTCTTATCAGGAAAGCTTTCCTAAAGGAACTTGATCTTGATAGGGGTCTTGAAGAAAATACAAGCTTTAGGTGCTCAGTAGTAAGTGTTCAATGAATAGGAGAGAGGGCATTCCTGGCAGGGGGACAGCAGGAGCAAGTGTCCTGGGGCAGGACTAAGCATGGAATGTTAGATGTCTTGTCTGGCTGGAGTGTCTGGCTGGATTGAACTTGGAGCCATTCTTCTGTTTTCAAAGTTGATCTTAGCCCCACAACAAGTCCATGTGGCTTGTTGGCCCGGGCAGCCGGCCTGGGTGGTATTTTTCCATTACTCTGAGCAGAGAAGAAGTTCAGTCACTTGTTGATAGCAATATGATCATTCAAGGAGAAAACAATTAGGGATGCTGAGCTCTGGCCCCCGGAGAGGAGGGAGGGAAGGAAAAAATTCTCCCTGGGGGGAAGGGGCTGGGTGGGAAACAACCAAGAGGGTAATTGGTAAATATTATTGTTTCATTCCATGTTTGCCTGCTCTGCTCTGGTCCCTCTGCAAGCGGTGCATTTAAATCACACTGTCTGACTTTGGCAGGTTTAATTGAGTCGCCACTGAAAAAGAAATTATCCCTGTGCTATTAATTTTTATAGTTCCTCGGGGCTTTTAAAAAGTGTTTGGATTTTCTAGGTCTTTGAAAATGAAAACATTAAATTTTATTAAAAGGAAACGCAGGGGGGCTGGCAGGGCCCAGCCAGGCCCTGACAAGACGGTTGGTGGGAAGGTTTGGGCCCTCTGAGGCAGTGTGACAAAAGTTTTGCCCCTTGTAGAATGAGAGGCAGGTGGTCTCTAAAGATGTGTGAGGTCTGCCAGACCTGCATCCCCCACTGGCTCAGGATGGGTGCCTTGTCAGTGCCACCCCAGACCCCGCCCTCATGGCCAAAGTCTGTGCTGGCAGCCACAGGCCAAAGAGTGCTGTGACCGGGAGCTCTCTGTAGGAACTGGGGGGAACATAAGGGCAGACCAGTGTTGTGGGGCCAGAAGCTTTCACAATTTAGAAGGCCCTCTTGAAGAAAAAGAAAAGAATTCAAAATCCCAAATGCAAAATTACATTCGAAAGTATAATTTTATTGAGAAAGAATGAAGTCACAACAAATTACACATTTTAAAAAGCTGACAAATTCTACAGGCACCACAAAATCTAAAATAACTGTCTGACACATCCGTAATACTTTTCTTCCTACATTTTTTTTGGCTACCAACTCTCTGATCATCTCTTTAAATGACTATAATTTTTCAATATCATTTTTATAGAGAGAATACAAAGATAATTCAGTCTATCTTTTACCAAACTGCAAACTCTTTGATCATCTCTTTAAATGACTATAATTTTTCAATATGACTTTATAGAGGGAATACAAAGATAATTCCGTCTATCTTCTAACAAGCTGATCAAATTTTGTACTTTATTATTCACGGTTTGGAAAGGTTTCTTTCAGTCTCACAATTTGTCACTGGTAATGCCACGTGAATTTTCAGGATTGTTATCAACTTTGGGAAAACCTCTGTCAAGTATCTTTCACATATGAGCTATGAGATTTCAGGGCATTTTTTCTTTCACAGCAACAAATCTAAAATGCTCTTTGAATTTATGAAACTTACTAACCAGATTGTCATCGATGCCCTCATTGTAGTGGCGTATAATGAGTTTTATGTTATCTCCATCAATGTCAGTATTTCCTGTCAAATCAGCAAGACATTTAAACATGGGGATTCTGATAAATTCTAAGTCAGTAATTCCCATCAAAAAAGAAACAAGATGAATGGTGCATATATAATTTTATTACTTTGCATGATCGAGTGTATTCTTGACAAGAGAGAACTTTTATTTTGATGAGGCAGTGATGAGAATGCTCTTGTGATTTTACATACCTAATGATTGGAGGAATTTCCCGCCAAGTAGCTTCTGGCTCTGGGCATTTAAAAACTTGTTTCTCTTTCACCATCTATATGCTTCCAGTGCTGGGCTCTGCAGGACACAGATACTCAGGTCTCTGTACAACTGCATCCCTTTCATGGCACAAGACAGAGGATGTCTGCACAGTGGGTAACAGGAGTGTTCCTGGCAGCTTTTTCCACATGGTGACAGCTACTGATGAGTGAGTTACACAGAGAGGTGACTAAAACTACACAAACACCTCGCACTGAACCTAAACCAAACACAGCCCCAGCTCAACTGCCCCTTAGCTAGTTTTCAAAGTGGCAGCATCAATGCCCCCCAAAATGAGGAAGGGGATGCCAGGGGGAAATATGCCAGGGAGAAACAATGGTTTTAAGAGATTATAGTTGAAATATCTCACTTTTGCCAGCTACATAAAAACACGTGACTGTGTACGTGCATTGTGCCAATGAAGGGCTCTGGAGTTTAAGCATCATTATCATGACAGGAAATTCACTTGTGCACGCTATGGAGGTTCTCGGGGAGAGATCTTTGCACCTAAGTCTGTCAAGGAATTAACTGCATTTGGAGAGACAAACACAGCACAGCAGTATAACAATTCAAACATGACAAGGTAACTAAAGTGAGACTTTGTATGGGGAGGCTTTGAAGTTGAGACAAGCAAGTGATGAGGGTAGGATGGGAAGGCCCAGGAAGTCAGGAGGTGGAACTTGAACTGGATACAATTCAGATAGCTGTGGAAGAGCACATGTGGGTGATGTGTGTGTGTTCGTGCATGCGTTTATAGACATGAGTGCCTGCAACTATGGTGTATTGTGAGCGTGCATGCATGTGCTTCTTTTTTTTTTTTTTGAGACAGAGTCTTGCTCTGTCGCCCAGGCTGAAGGGCAGTGGCATGATCTTGGCTCACTGCAAGCTCCGCCTCCCGGGTTCACACCATTCCCTTCCTTCAGCCTCCCGAGTAGCTGAGAGTACAGGCGCCCGCCACCAAGCCCTGCTAATTTTTTCTATTTTTAGTAGAGATGGGGTTTCACTGCGTTAGCCAGGATGGTCTTGATCTCCCGACCTCATGATCCGCCCGCCTCGTGGGATCCCAAAATGCTGGGATTACAGGCATGAGCCACCACACCCAGCCGCATGCATGTGCTTCTACGTGAGCATGCATGTGCATATGTTGTGTGCACTTGTGCACGTGTAAGCATGTGTAGGGAGGGAAGGAAGGGATTGTCATGAAGTCTGCAGGAGAAATGGGCTGGCGTCGTGGATATCAGTCTGACACATGAGGACGATGAGGCTCAGGAAAGCGAGGCAACTTGCTCAAGACTGCACATCTGGTCGGTGGCAGAACTCAAGCTGTCCCCAGGCATCCCGACAGCATTTGCAGGATGTTCCCAGCACACGCATCGGCTCCTACCCACATACAGCCAGGGCTGAATCAGTGTGCGTGCCCTGACCCGCTTCTCCACAGGCAGAGTGCCCTTCTAGGCACAGGAAGGAATGTCAGTTCCATCCTGTGATGGCTGTCCTCCTCCCTCTGCCTCAGGGGTCACTTCACTCCAATAAATCATCCCAGGCAGCCCTGACCCAGGAGAGAAGAAAGTTGCCTTGCCCTTTTACGCTGACACCTCAGCTCCAGCTCTATCCCCAGATAAAGTCACAAGGCACTAGAGTGTCAGGTGGGGACATGTGTGTTTTGTTTCAATGGCAGAGTAGTGGGCAGTTTGTGCACAGCTTCCTTAAGGAAACAAAGCATTTCTGTTGTGGAAGTAAAAACTTTGGTTGGTTTATGAGTTGTGACAGGTAAGGAAATAAAAATGTGGAATAACCCAAATGTCAATTCAGATAGAAAATTAAGAAATAGTCAGATTTCCCTCCCTGGGCTAGGCGTTCAGCACTCCCAACTCTATAATGTCAGTGCTCTGATCGTGCCCATTTTACAGACAAGGAAACTGAGGCTTGGAGAAGTTTAGGAGTTTGCCCAAGTCACACAGCTAGAAATCATGGGGCCAGGATTTAGATTCAGATAGTCTGATTTCAGGGCCTGTGTTCTCATTAGGATATACTGCCTTCAATGGAAGAAAGTAGGGAGAATTCTCCCATAAGCACAAAACTTTATTCAGATTTCCTAAAACACAGGACCATTTAAAAACTCTCTTAATAAAAAGCTGATGGCAGGCCTCTCCCTGTCGTCACCCTCGACATGCATGTACATGCGCTCACGCTCGCACACACACACACACACACACACACACACACAGTGTCCACATCACTGCTCACCCCAGCCTTCCCAACTCAGCCCAAATTCCTTCCTTGTGAGTGTCCCTCCACTGATAATTAAGGCTTCAGCCAGCCAGTTGCTGATTTCTGATTCCCATTTAATCTCCACAAGGACTTTCAATACTTACAGCTCTTGCTTCTCAATATTTCAGTGTATTAAAGGAAAACTCTTGGGGGCAGGAAGATGACATCTCCACGAACAGGTAACTGCAGGGCGGTACAGACAGAGAATACTTCCAGCTTTGCTCAGAAGGACAGATTTATCAGAAGTACTGGTGAGGGCTAGAAGTCAAGGTGAGAAGCTTTCAGAATGGGGGTGTGCACGTGTGCTTGTATGTGTTTAATGTATTTTCAAGTAACAACTAAAAGTTTCTGCCTTATGTGGTCAATGGGAATCTGGTGATTTATTTGAGCTGAGGACTTCAGGACATATAGACACAAACCACTATCACTGTGCCTCATTCTATAGCTGAGGACATGTGCACATAGTGTGTGTGTGTGTGTGTGTGTGTGTGTGTGTGTGTGTGTGTGTAACTCACAAGGAGAAAAAGGACCAGGGAGCAAGGCTGACACAGATTGAGGGGTACCCATTTGGAATTTTCTTTGTAACTCTGTTTACCATTGAAGAGACCCACTTGCTCCTGTAGGGAAGGCCAACGCCCACCCCCACCATCCCAGACTAAAGTCATAAATCTCAAGCCTGTGGGAAAAGGGCCCACCCTTCCTAAGCTGAGATAGACAGAGACGCTGGCCCAGACAGACAGAGTGTGGAAACTTCCACTGGCCTGCATTTGACCTCCCTACCTCCAAGTTTTGCATCTTAAAGGGACCCCGACTGATAGAGAGCAAGCTGGCTGGACAGCCCAGATCTGTCTGCTGATTTCAGGCTGTTATCCTTGAGCAAAGGGAAGCTTCTCTGTTTTATTCAATACCTAGGATATCTTAAAAACTGGGAAAGAGTCAGAGTGTCCTTTAAATTCAGAAGAGTGAGGTTATTTTAATCTATTTCTGAAAAAGCTAACCTGTGTCCAGGGGTTAGCCCGGTGAGTGTGACCATCCTGGGGAGTGTGAGGAAGGCAGAACTCCTGGTCTTTAGCTGTCCTGCGTCAAGCAAGCCGCCCACCTCTCTCGGCCTCTACCTTTCCACCTCTCTCGGCCTCTACCTTTCCTGATCACTTCATTGGACAGTTACTGGGTTCAAAGTCAAAATGGTCAGTATTCAAGAGGAGGGCCTATAAAATGATGTTAAAACCTTTTTAACAGGCAAGTGCAAGTGATTCATGAATAAGAGACCCACCCCAGGATCTTTCAGGAGAAGATGGTGAAGATGTGCAGAAGGGCAGCCACATCCCTCACAACCTGTTCTACAGTTCCTGGGTCAGGGGAGGTGTCACAGGCTTGACCCGGGCGGTTCTTTCCAGTGCTCTTATGCTCAGTTCACTGCAATCAAACCAACATGGGTGTTCAGCTGTCCTGATCCCCTCATTCAAACATTCATGAAAGTGCCCAGCTCCCAATCCTGAGAGGCGGTGGGGGCACCAGACCCCTCAAAATGGCAGCATCGAGGTCCCAGTCATCATGAGCAGCCTCCCTCCTGTGTCTTCCTGAGGGATCCTTCACTCCCACTGCCATCCCCAGCAGGCTTGTGCCTTGCCCCCGCCTCACCTCACCCACCTAATGAGCTTCATGGCCTATGGCCTGCAGGACCAGGCTAACTGATGAGCTCTATGGGCACAGCCAGTGTGTCCCTACCTCATGATTGGAGCCATGGCTGCCCCATATAGCATCTCCACCAGAGAAGCAGAGGGCTGCTCTCTCCTTGCCTTCAGGGGACGTGCTGTCTAGCTGGAGGAGTTCTGCTGGCTAAATGTGTTATGGTCCCTCCCCATTTGAGGCACATGGTAGGACTGTACTTCCTCCTCATTGTGATGGGCAGAGCCACGAGAGTGGTTCTGAAGAATGAGTTGTAAGCAAAAATGTCATGTCATTTCTGAGCCACAGAATTAATTGCTGAGGCAAGACTTCAGAAAGCATTCTTTTATCCTTGGCATGAGGTACCAGCAACATTCAAGAAGGCAGCTCCTTTGTCACCTAGCCTGCCTGATGAGCAGCCCTTTGTCAGCCCAAGTCCCTGAATGACAATACGAAGTAGAGGCCAGCACCTACCTATGTATTATAGTATAAGTAAGAGCTAACCCTTGGTTGTCTTAATCCACAGAGACTTGAGGGGTCGTTACTGCAGCATAACCTAACCTATCCTGACTGATACAGAAATGTGTGGCATATCAATCTGGAATAAAACAAGAGTAATACAGGGCTATGGATAGTTATGTTTTGGACACTATGGAATTGATGGTAAATTCTGGATCCAGTAAAAGAAGAGGAATGTATTGTAAGCTGTTATGGACTGAGAGCATTTCCAGGAGACTGAGTAGGATTTAAATTAGCTTGATGGAAGTAGGAGGAAGTGCCCACCTCTCCCATTTCTCCCTAAAGATTAGGTACCGATTCTAGCCTAAGTTGCACTTCCAACATTTCACTAGTTAGGAGGGCATGGGCCTTCAATTTCACCCCTCATGCCCCACTGTCCTTATCCCAACTGCTTCTCAACACAGAGCTTCAATCTTCTATTTATTTCTATCTTCACCCATCCTTACCTCCAGTCTGAAAAAATCTGTTGCCCTTCTCCCGTCTAAACCCAGTTCTCTCTTTCTACTGGTTTCTCACCAATAGCCTATAAATGCTCTCAACTATCTCCCTATTTGAAATAAAACTCATCTCTTAACCTTGAACTAACCCCTTTACTCTATTCTAAATGATTCATTAATATACCAGTGCTACACTTTCTTACTCCCTTAGAATCTACTATGAGCTTCCTCCTTACAAAATAAAATTCAAGATTTAGAGATCCAATGCCATAAAAAGCAACTCAAGGTATATTTAATTCAGACTTCATATCTCATCCCTGGCCAGCATTAGCCATCTCACAACAATATATCTGGGAAATCAATATTCTATGAAATAAGGATTTCAAGGAGAAAGTCCACCCTAGCTGACTACATGTGGGTAATTAGGTAAGCTGTAGTGACAGTGGACCTGATTTACTACCAAATGCTCATGCTATTATGGCAAAGTTAGCTGGCTCATTAAATAATCTGTCTACCAAGAGTGTGAGTCCACACCGATAACCACTCCAAATGACAGTGGGAGACACAGCCCTGGGAAGGGAGCCAGGAGTCCTTAGGCCTCTTTCCAGCCATCGACCAACCAGCTGTGTGACCTTGGGCTAGTCACATTCTTTCTTCAGGCTTCAGTTTGCAGCCTACCCCCCTTCATTCTTAATCAAGAGAGTTTGACTAAAAGCCCTGCAATGGCTTTTAAAACTGCAAAATCCCTTGACTCTCATCATTGTTTTCTGTGCTAAATTATAGAGTCATCAAAAATGAAGAAAAAATTGGAACTGTTTCAAATGGTTCCAGATAATCAGGAAAAAGTGTCTTTCATCCTATAGCAAGTGTGTGGCATTGAGGGGCACCAGCTGGAGAGGGAGCAATGTGGGCTCGTATGTGGTCAGCATCTCTTGACAGCAAAGAAGGATGAAGAACACAGCCCTCTATCCTCATTTTAGCTCCATCCCTAATTTTCCATGTGACTTTAAACCTGTCACTCAACCACCCTGGGCTACCCTTTGGCTCCAAAATTCTATGACATCTGATACGTTCTTTAAGACCCAGGCTCCAGACTCCCTACACCCTCACCTATCTCACCTTGAAATGAAGCTCCTCTTGGATTATATGCCTGGCATTTAGCCCAGATGGTAGATCTTAAAGCACCCTCCTCTAAGTTCAACCACACCTATATGTACCCAAATACCAGAATCTGAGAGTGAGAAGAGAATAAGAGCACTTTAGAGAAAGCATAGCTGCAGGCACTGAGTCCATTGCATTCTGGAGCATGGTACGTTGGAATTATAAAATTCCTAAAAATTGTAGCCACCCTTTACAATTTACATAGGATGTTGATCAAGCAATATACCTTCTATCCTTTTACTTGATCCTAACAAACCCCTTATCCTCTGTCCTCCCATCCAGGACCACATGCCTTTGTTAATACATGGCAGGAGGCCAGGCACCAGGACCATGCACCTCCTCCTGGAGTATCATTTGGTACCAAGATTGTGAAATGAGACAAGGAGAGTGTTTAGAAATTAGAAGTTGTAAATAATGTTTCCTTATTTCTACTTTCAACAAACTCAGATAAATCATGAAATTTATTGTGTCTCTCTCCACTAGAATAGAACAACATAAAACTAGGGTCTTTTTTATTGTTGCTCTGTGTTGAGTCCCAAGTGCTTACAGTAGTGCCATGCATGTAGTAGGCACTCAGTAAAATTATGATGAATGGAGGAAAGAACATTGTATATGAGTTGTTAAGGTAAAACTTGAGACTTTGGAGAAATGACATGTCATTAAAGGTGTGTCACTTTAGGCTCTAACTCTAGACTCCTCAGAGTTTATTGGTTGATTCTCCTGTGCCTTTGGGGCACTTCCTGAAGACTGATTAACTCCCCTTTAAGGAGGAGGAAGCCAGTACTGTAGATGAATAAATAACACACTCAAAGACACACAATCCATAAATAACGGAGGCCAGGACAGGACACATGTCAATTTGACAAACATTTATTTAATAAATTCTTTGTGCTGAGCATTGGGTTAGTTGTACTTTCAAACACAATGGAGCCATGAGGGACTGTTGCTCCCAGCTGGCTTTCTTCCTGGCAGCCTGCTCTTTTCTCTGGAAAGCTGTCCACATCCAGGCTCTGCCTGGGGGCTCTTCCCTCCAAGATGCTATGCCACAAAGCCCTCTAGTTCTCCTCTCCTGACAATGAGCCGGCTGGCCCTTTTCAGTTTCAAGGATTTACTGGTAGATGCTTTGAGGCTACAGAAGGGAGTATTAAAAATAAACGTGATCATTATAAAATTCTAAGAAATCAGACAACGTCTTTAAAGTAATGGTCCTAGTCCGTAGCTCCTGACTCCTTGCTGAGCATTACACAGAAGTCTTAAGATGGCCTTTCCACTGCTCCGCTCAACGGGGCCCACATCTTATGTTTTCTTCTCTGGGTCCATATTTTTTTATTATACCAGCCAAGATCACTCATATCTGCCAGACTCCCCAGCCTGCCAAGACAACGGCAGTCTGATCCATTACTTGAAGAGCCACCAAAAATCAGAGAAAACTGATGTCTGAAACAACAGAAACATTTTCTCATTGAGTAAAATATAATATGGGTTGATTGATAGGGTTGGTTGAACATTATCTGTACCTACAGTTATACCTGCTTGCTCCTCCAGGGGCAGTGGTTCACTCCCTGGCTGCACATTAGATCCACCTGGGGAGCTTTTAAAACAGTGCATAGACCCCATCCTGGACCAATTAAACCAAAATCTCTGGGGTAGAGTCCAGATATGGATTTTTTTAAAGCTCCCCAGTGATTCTAATATATAGCCAGAACTGAGAGCTACCGCTATGATCAACTTGTTTCCTTTCCTCTGGGGTATCTGAAACTTTGTGATTAGGTCAGTCTTTAAAGCTGTTCAGAGTTAATTAACACATATGCATTTAGACTGGCTCCATTGAGCCAGCCAAGGCAATTCCCAAAATAGAATTCAAGGGTTCAGAACTACCTTCCGTCTTCTTTCCTAAAAGCATGTGATAAGATGCCCCCAACAAATCACCACGTAAATATCCTACTGACCCTGAAGACATCTAAAACATAACCACTGACCTCTTATGCTAGTGTTCTCTCTTGGAGTTTCCAGGTTCTTTTGCCTTCTGTCAAGACCCTCAACACCTAGTCCCAACATCTTTTCCAAGTTATCTTCCACTAAATCTCTCAACACATACCCCATTCCTGGCAATTGATCTACTCATTGTCTTCACTTTACACCCCCATTTTAGACTGCCATGTTTAACCCTGGCATTCACCTGCCTGAGCTGACCAGGAGTGCCCCTCCTCACTATTCATCTATCTGTAACCTATCTTTAAGTCTCAATCCAGAACTCATCTTTGAGATGCAACCTTCTCAGTGTGACCACTCCAGCTCTCAGAAGCTGCTTCCTCTTCTGAGGTTATTGTCATCGTATATACCACTTATTGGGGCACTTCAGGTATACTCATTCTATGGGCAAGTGTGTGTGCATTCCCCACTGGGCTGTAACACTTACAAATGGTGGAAATCAAGATTTCTCGATTGTGCAACCCAATGTAAAATAATGAAAGCCTGGGCTCCCTTTATTCTGAGAGGTTTAAAAAAAAATTCTATAAGGATGAGTACGTAATAAATTATTTGATCGTTAAGACGACCTTATGAAGCATCATTGTTATTGTCACCATGTTGGCAGTTAAAAAACCAAGTGGAGAATAGTCCGCCTTTATCCCCCAAAACACCAAGACAGACAGAAAAATGGGCACAAGGAAACCAAGACTCAGAGTGAGTCACACAGCCTTTAATAACATAGCCAGAGCCAAAATTCAGGGTCTACACTGCCAGCTCAGTGTTCTTTCAACTAATAGATTGATTCACAAATTTTAGCATGCATCAGAATCACCTAGAAGGCTTGTTGAAATGATTGATAGGTCTGGACTGGGTCCTGATAACTGCATTTCTAGCAGGTTTCTAGATGATGCTTATGGCACTGACCCAGGCTCCATACTTTTGAGAAATACTGCTTCAATATAAGCTTCTTTCTTGAAAGAAGAGAGATAGAAACAGGGATTCCAGCCCCACCAGAAGAGATGTTAGAGATGTTAGAAAAGCAAACCAAATGTCATATGGAAATAATAAGAAATAATAAATAACTGAATTTATTTCAACAAAAGATTTTCTACAAGAGTAATTTGTTATAAGTTACAAATAAAAACTCAAAGTCATAATACAGAAATCATTCTTACTAAGACTTCAGGCCAAAATATCAATATGTTCAAAGGGGCTGAAATGAATTCAGGCATTATACATCCATAATACATTAGAAACAATTCATTAAAAATGGCAGAGAAAGAATGGAAGCCAGACCACCCATACTCTGAAAATTCCCTTACATGGGATGTGGCTTGGCAGCAAATCAATTGATCCCTCCATCAATCTGCCTATCACTTAATCAATGGCCCTTTTCTACATATCAACTTTATGCCACTAAATTCTGTAGGCCAATGAGTAAAATGTAAACATGGCCCAGCACAGAGTTCCTGCTCATCAAAAATATATCATCTAGTTTAAGACAAAATCTACAACTGGGAAAATTTAGACAACAGTGTTGAAACCTTATTAAAATTAAGTAGAAATGACATATGATATAGATGTTCAGAAAATAGAGATCAAGGCAAACTGGATTAGAGAAAAATATGTATTCACATGGCTGTAAGCTAGGGCTTAGTACAGTGTCAATTACTAGTCATCGTATGAATTAATGAATAAACAAAGTTTAGGAAGTTAAACTAGATCTTTTTAAATGGGTAGGATTTGGATGGGATGGAGAGAAGAGCGAATGGTATTTGAGACAGAATTAGTGTCATGAGTCAATTGACAGGAAGGAACCTGCTTGCCTGCACGTGCATGTGTGTATGTGCACCTATATGCATGTGTGCTTGTGTATGCATGTGTGTGTAATGTAGGGGAGTTATGGGGAGAAGGAGCATGGAGAAGTAGTGAAGGGGCTTGTGCTACCAGACAGAAGGTTCATGGAAGAGAAGAGGATAGTGGTGAGAGGTAGGTTAAAGACAGTAGATTAGGTCCAGAATATCCCATAGGTCTTCAGGGTTCTTCCTATAGACTGGAGCAGCCATTGCTGACTCTTGAGCTGAGGTGGTTTGGGAGTGGAGTTAAAGTTGAAAGCAGTACCACCCTACAAAAACCGTCCCACCCTCAAGGGAGAGGGCTGGAGAAAGACTCAGCTCTCTGCAGGTTGACACAATAGACCAACAACACACACTGCCTCTGCCCTTTGCACAGACCCTCTCCTAACATTTGCATACCTAGGGCACAAGTACATATGGAAGCTGACATATACCATATGGGTAAATATGCAAGAGTTATAAATCAAGATAACAAATGTCAAATACGTTTCTTCCTCCTTCATTGACAAATGTACCTTTTCATCAACCGAAAAGCAAAGTTTGAATTTCAAATTCTCAGAATTCTCAGCTTTCTGTAGCAAAGCTGGAGGCCTCTGGCCTATACCTCTCCTCTCTTCCCACGCTTGGCTCCATCCTACATTTTATGAGACCTGGGCATATGCATATGAACATCCTAGGCCATGTGTCCAAGCTTTTCTACAGCCTCCTATAAATAGCCACCACTTGGCCTCCTTCAAGTCCTGAAATGTACACATCACCAGTGATATCTATCCTCAGAAAGATGAAGCAAGGAGGAGCTCTGTCCACACCGACCATGGAAGTGGGTCTGGATCCATTTATTCAGGAAATTGCAGATCCCAGGTAACCCTAGTGAGGTGAAAAAGAGGGCAGTGAACTCCACGTGAGCACTATTTCTGGGCCCTGTGGGTTTCTTGACCATGAAAAGGCATGGTAAAAGGAAGGTCAGAGTGGGGAATCTGAATCAGGGAGCTCTCTTGCCTGGGACAGAGGGTGATTCAGTCCCTGAGCTACAGTGAGTCTGGATTTCACTACCACAACCCACTGTCAGGTAGCCCCCTCCCTCCATGCCCCTGTCTTTCTCCCCATGTTATAAGTTTCTCCCTTCTAGCTGGTGATGGAAGGGTCACTAAATCAAAGCTGCCAGCCTGGGCTCTCAGATCCCCACTTTGATGGAGAACTCAGTCTATGGGGAACCAAGCCAAACAAAGCATCCTACAGGGTTTTCACCTGCAGAGATTGTAGTTCATCCTTCACAGTCTCTCCCCTTCACACACACTAGGCACCCGCAGATCTAGGGCTTCAGAAGCTCGTCTCATCACTTCCTTTTCAATCCCCACGTGAGCACTTGTGCTCTCCTTCAAGTGCTCCAAGGTAATTTTAAAGAACACCGCATTTTGCTTTCATTTTCCTCTGGCCTGGCCTTCCCATAAATCAGGGCTGAAGCAGAACTTGAGAGAACTGGGCTAATCAAGACTTCAATCTCAAGAAACGTTTAAATATAAATCAAAATAGTTGAAGGCTCTCCAGATCCTCAATTTTCTTTGAAAGCCTAGTTTGTCTTGTTCTTTTTTTTTTTTTTCTTCCCACTTTTTTTTCTTGTTGGCCATGCTGGGCTCTGAATTTCCTCCTGGTGCCCCTAGAAATATTTCTGAGTAGTTCTCGATGTTTTCTTTGAGACACTGTACGAAGCAATACAAGAGAGATATTCCTGGTGCCCCGGCTGGGGAGCAGAGGCCATCTACAGCATCTTGCTCTAACTTGAAGGATTTCAAATTTTAAGAATTAAATGATCTTAAAGAGTCATAAATAGTGATTTGGCAGTCAAAGGGAATAAAAATGAAATCTGCAGAACTGTAACTCTAATCATCTCTCCTGTTTCAGATACTTATGACTGTAACAAACTGTCCCAGCTTAGTGTTACAAAACAACAATAGTCATTTAGTATGATTGTCTCTCCTGGTTCTAGGAGCTGATGGGCACTTCCTGCTTGGAAACACCCAGGCAGTTTCAGTCTGGGTGTTTGGAGAGAAGGTGGCTGGAGCAGGGGCTTTTTTTTTTTTTTTTTTTTTGAGATGGAGTCTCTCTCACTCACTCTGTCGCCCAGGCTGGAGTACAATGGCGCGATCTCGGCTCACTGTAACCTCCGCCTCCCAGGTTTAAGCAATTCTCCTCCCTCGGTCTCCTGAGTAGCTGGGACTACAGGCACACGCCACCACGCCCGGCTAATTTGTTTGTGTTTTTAGTAGAGACGGGTTTCACCATATTGGCCAGGCTGGTCTCGAACTCCTGACCTCATGATCCACCTGCCTCGGCCTCCCAAAGTGCAGGGATTACAGGAATGAGCCACTGGAGCAGGGGTCTTCTTAAAGGCTTCTTCAGTGTCTGGCACCTGGGCTGAGAAGGCTGGAACAGCAGGGGCTCCTTGCCTCTCCCTCCCTGTCTCTGTGGTCTCTCCATGTGGTCCTTCCAGCCTGGCAGACTTCCTACACTGTGTTTTAAAATTTAGCCCGCATTATTCAGATGTGGTGAGGCCAATGGATCAAGAGACAACTGCCATTGCAAGGACAGTTTGTTATACTCAGAGATGCCAAGGGGATGGGCATGGCACGCCGAGGGGAGCCACATGGGAAACACAGGCACCAGGGTTGTGGGGCTGGAATTTGGTCAAGAGCCTTTATTGTATTCCTGTGGAAAGGAATGGGCAAGGGAGGCAGGGCAAGTAGGTTTAGGATTGTCTAGTTTGAATAATTTCAGCAGGCTCTAGGGCATAGCAGCTGTTCTTAGTTGTCTGGTACAGGGCCTTGGGGTGATTAGGCCTGAAACAGAGAGGTCTGGAGTGAGAGAACTCCACAAAAGAGGTAGTTGGGGCACAGGCTCTGGTTATTTGGTTTGCATATGAAGGGCACCCTCCCAGGGGAGTTGTTTCTTATCTCTAGGAATTAGCTAACCTCCAGGGTCAGCAAGGCCTCAGACATCAAAGCATCAAAATACCGAGAATAAAAACATACTTAATACACATGGTAGATGAGGGATTCAAAAGCTTCTCCAAAGCTACAGAGCTTTGGATATCTGGAGCTACAAGATAGCTCCAGGAAGGAGCTATCTTGCCTTTTATGAGCTAGCTTCAAAGTCATACAGTATCACTTCTGCTACTTTCTATTTGTAAGAGGAGAGTCACTAAGGCCAGCCCATAATCAAGAGAATTGGACTTCACCTGTTGATAGAAGAAGCATCACATAATTTGTGAATCTGTTTTAAAACCAGCAATCTTTCATAATAGAGTATTCACAAAATGTCATTTGTGATTAATGGGCCCCTTTCCCCATCCCTTAGAACCCAGAAGCCTTTGACTCAAAAGGTGCTAAATCCAATTGCCCATCTGTTAGCACCCCATTTCCCAAGCCAAAATGCTAGACAGGGTGATACTGTTCTGACTGTAAAATGAAAATGACAGGGGTTGAGACTGAGAAGTTGTGATCCCATTGCTGTGAAGTACAGCAACATGTCCATAGTGAAATTTATCATTAGTCAAAGTTCACAGGCCAAAATCTCCCAAGTCAACTCCATGAATAATATAAAGAAAGGAGAAAACTAGCTCTGCCCTACAGGAATTTGCACTCTGGTGGAGGGGAAAAGTCATTAATTACTTAATGAAGGACATGGCATTCAGAAAAATAATAAATTATTCTTTGGGGAGTAATGAGAGAAGGCTCCATGGAAAAGGTGGACCTTAAAGGACATAGAGGCAGCTCACAATCCACTTCCATGGATAACTCACTCCATTCCAAGGCCCTAAAATTTCTTTAGCCCTGTGGGCCATATTTCCTGGTCTGTCCCACAAACAAAATGTGTACCCCCTTCCCCTAGACCCTACCATTTCCCTGTCTGAAAGGCTCTCCTCTTTCTCCTTTAACCATTCAAGTCCTGTCCTGCTTTGGAGTTCACTTTCTCCAGGAGCCCCTTTCTGACATCTCCCAAACAACCATCACCCTCTCTACAACACCTTTAGGGCCTAGACCTTCTACCACAAATTTCATCACTCACTTACATGTCACCATTTTCATGTGGTTCGTTATGACTTCATAATTGTTGACTTGTTTTTCTCCATCTTGATTTTGGTTATTGCAGACCATAAACCACACATTCTTCTTGCCCTTAATGCCACCCACTGTCTCAAGGCCAAGCCTAAGCATACAGTAGCTACTCCATGTATATTTTGGGAGTGGTTGACTGGTGGTATAAATGTAGTGTTGTCGAACTGCGTTGATCCAGGGCCCCCCAGGGACCACCCTGCAGAAAAGAGCCAAGGAGTAAGAAAGGTACAGGGTTCTAGGGCCCTATGCCACCTTCAACAGTATAGGTACTCTTTTGACTGGCTTTCCATATTGGAATACATACAATTTTGCCTGAAGGTAGAACTCTGTGTCCAACCAATTATTGAAAACCACCAATGTTATAGACATAGCATTGAATTAGGAACTGAAGCTTTGCCTCCTCAAGCCTCTGATTCCTCATTCCAACAATGGAGATAATTATTACTCCTGTCCTTTTCTCTCACAGAGTGTATCAGTTAGCTAGAGCTGTGTAACAAATCACCTCAAACATGTTGGCTTAAAACTACAATTTATTTAGCTTAGGAACTGAAGGTTTCTGGGGGCTGGCTGGTCTAGGATGGCCTTGCTCATGTGTCTGTGGGCAGCTAGAAGGTCAGCTACCAGTTGGCTTTGCTCAGCTTGCTCAAGGATCAGAGGTCTTGGCTGTGATGAATCAGCTGACTCAGCTCTGCTCCATGTGGTCTTTCATTCTTCAGGAGGCTGGCCCAAACTTATTTACATGGTAGTCACAGGTGTCCAACAGAGAAAGCAGAAGCTGCAAGGCCTTTGGGGACTAGACTCAGGACTAGAAAAGAAAATGTCACTTCTGCCATATTCTACTGGTCACAGCAAATCACAAGGTCAGCCCAGATCCAAGGGATGGGAAAATAGATTACACCTCTTGATAAGAAATGCTACAAGGCTCTTTGTATGGGCTTGGATGCAAGGGGGCATGGAGAATTGAGACCATTTTTGCAGTCTGTCATGGGGAGGTTATGAAGATCAAATGAGATTACAAATATAGAGATCTTTGAAGAAACACACAACTTCATGCAAGGGATAAATATTACCATGGAAGATTTTTCTCATCAATAGGGTTGGGGATGGTAGTGATGCTCTCAGATACATTCACATAAATGGGGAACTTGCTTTTCCCTGTTTAAGTGGCTTTATAGGCTAGTTATTTTCAAATGTTTCAAAATTATATTTTCTTCTAAAGAAAAAGAAATCTGCATTTATGGTTCAAACCTCTGTCTTTTTTAGGTATATGTTAATGTCATGCCTTTCTAAGCTTTCATGTCAGCAGCATGAAATCAAGAGTTCACTCATTCGTTCACTAGGCATGGGCCAGACACCAGCTGCACCAGGCCCACAACAGGCACTAGAGCTACAGTGACAAATAAAACCTCATCCCTGCCCTCAAGATGCCCATAGATGAGTGCAAAGTATTGGAAGTATGAACCAAAACTTGTAGAAAACAGAAAAAGGGGCAGCAAATTTTACTTGGGGGTGTTGGGAAAGTCTTTGCAGCTAAAGTAAAGTAAACTGGGTTCAAAAGAAAGAGAGGGAGTGTGAACCATGCAAAGAGTTAAGAAGAAAGAATACCACGTGGGAGAACACTATGTGCAAAAGCATGGAGTTGTGAAAAGGAATGGGGGACTCGGGAAGCCTTGAGGTTGCCTTGAAACAAGTATGGGACATAGGAGGGAGAGATGGGATATTGATGTTGGGGAAATAAATTGCAGCAGATTATAAGAGCCACAATACCTCAATCCTTACGCAAAGCCACGAGATCAGACTTTGTGTTTAGGAAGAAGTCTGTGGACAGCAGGCAAGGTTTTGATTGTGTAGGAAATGAGACAAAGTAAACCAGAACCATAGCTGGGACAGTGGGGACAGGAAGGAGGTAGCACTTATCTACATTTTGCATTTTTTTATGATGAACATGATTGCATGTACAATAAAAGTGTCAGAATTTGAAAAAAACAAATGTGGTCATCGTCAGCAGATCTGTCTTAGCTAAAGTCATGGGAGTGGACAGGATCACTGGGGAAGAACATACAGCAAGGCTGAGGCAAGAAAGGTTAGGAAAGGACAGTCCTGAGGAGCACTAGCCTTTAGAGAGAGTGTGGGGAGGAGGTGGTTACTTCAGAGGAGCCTTAGAAGTCTCAGTCTTAGGAGAGAGGGAAGCCTGAAGGAAAACAGTGCCTAGCCATCACAGAAGAAGACAGTCTAGGGAGCATGGGAGGAGAATAATTGTAGCTAGTTCTCAGTTATGGCTTAGCATATGCCAGCCCTCATTCTGGCTGTTTTGCATGTATTAAACTTTTTTTAATCATAGCAGCCATATATTGCAGGTAATGCTCTGAGCCCCATTTTAAAGATGAAAAAATGGAGGCACAGGGAGGTCATATAACCTGCTCAAGGTCACAGAACGGGTAAGGGGCAAAGCTGAGATTCAGACTGAGGCTGGGGTGACAGAGGGAGAGATAAGATTGTAATTTAAGGCAGACAGTGGGCAAGGGATTCAACTTTAAGATGAGAGAATCAGGCACATTTGCAGGTGAAGAGGAAACTGCTGCTAGAGACAGATTGAAGGCAGAAGAGGGAAATACTCAGGCAAAACCAGGCTGAGCAGGAGGCAGGAGGCACAGTTGTTCTGCAGGACAGCTGGAAGGAAGAAAGGCCTTGAGAGGAGACATGGCAGAGAGGCAGGGAGACCAGGGCCATGGGGAAGGGAGGGAATGTGGAGGGCATTTCCTGCTTTCTCCATGAATTGTCATCTTCTCTCACTGTGAAGGGAGGGTGGAGTGAGGGTATATGGGGACGAAAAGAGCAGTGATTGTCTAGAGTGGATATTTTGGGAATGAGAAAGGGAGATGAGAACAGAGGGCAGAGGGGTGTGGGCCCAGCGATGAGGGCATCTCATGGACGTGGGCCACCCGTGTGCCTTGCACAGGGCTGCAGGAACAAAGGACAGGTGGGGGACAGACAGAGAAGCAAGGGACCCAGGGTCCTAGAGAGCAACCCTCTGGGATGTCCAGGCTCAGTATCCAAGCTAAGGAGAGAGGCCGTGGAGCCAGGAGAGTCCAGAACAGTGGGTGAGAGAGTTGAGAAGTAGCAAGCTCAAGGTCCTTCTAAGAGTTAAGGAAAGCTAGAAGTCAATGGAGAAGAGAAACTCACCACACCAAGTGCATTGTGTGGGGCCAAAAACAACACCAACATCAAGGGCCCTGAGTCTTACAGACTGAGTTTTAATCCTGCCTCTGCCACTCACCCAAGGTAAGTGGTGTATCTCCTCCGAGCCTCAGTTTTCTCATCCTCAGAATGGATATAATAATAATTCTACTCACACAGTTGTTGGGAGAAGTGCTTGACACATAAGCAGTCAATGTTAGCTGTGTTGTTGTTGATATTGCTGTATTGTTATCCAGCGGACTCTGAGTCCCGAATGACCCTAGAGGACAGTCACTTGATCTAGTCTCTGAGCAGCACTACTTCTAAGATGCCCAAAGAGAATCACAGCCTGATCTGTTTCTAGTCCTCCAGAGAAGCTGCCCTCATTTCCCCATTGTGTGCTCAGCCTGGTGAATAAGCTCTCTGTCTTAGTTTATTTTCTGTTGCTATACCAGAATACCACAGACTGGGTAATTTATAATGAATGGAAGTGTATTCAGCTCACAGCTCTAGAGGCTGGGAAGTCCAAGAACATGGTGCCAGCATCTGGAGAGTGGCCTGAACAATGAGATATAGATGAAAAGAGAAAAGGTCTAAATGAACATGCATGACATCATTCAGCTCAGAATACCTTTGCTCTTGACCTACTGACTTCCAAAGCATCAAGAATCAGACACCAGGAGATGATGAACAAGAAGGGTTCACCATGGGCACATGGTCTAGGTAGACAAGCCTCCACCTCTAGCATTTAAGTAGTATAATTCCTGACCTCAGAAGGGATTGAGATGGCCTGTTACAAATTAATAAAATGATATTGGGCTAGAGATGCTAGGAAATGTGCAAAATCCTCTGCTTCTAGGTTAGAAATTTTGCACTTTAGGACTTAGTATTCAGACATACCAGAGCAGGTGGTATAACATGTACAGATAAGAAAGGATTTTTTCTATTATGTGCTCTTGACCATTTGTGATACTGACAAAAGCCATATCAATAAAAAAAAATTCATTTCAAGTTTATTTTATGAGAAATACCCCCACGCTTAAAAGTTAGGAAAAGGGAATGTAAAATAATCAATAAATACAATAAACACACACAAACTTTAGTCCAACGTGCTGATTTTAGAGATGAGGAAACTGAGGTCCAGTGAGGGGATGATGTTCCTGGGTCACACAGAGAGCTTTCTGACCATGTGCTCTCCCACCACCCTTTACTGCAATGTCACTATCTGTGACTTACTCCTGCTGGCTCTTCCCTGTCATTCCCACACTGATGTCACTGATGGGCATCTTCACATGGCATCTCCAATGTGACATACCCCTGGGAATTTCAAAGTTACCCACCCCCCTTAGGAACACTCCAGATGACAAAATGGAACCACTGCCTGCCCAACCACCACTCATGGAGTCTCATCTTCCTCCTGGCCCTTATAGAGGTGTCTCCAGGTACAGTCTGATCTCCTCACCACCCACCCACCAGGGTCTAGCATCAAAGCTTTGTTTCTTGCATGGAATCCTGATCCTTGGGACATGAGGCTTCAAGGTTAGATGTTCTACATTCCAATTATCCTTTGCTGGAAAGAGACATTGGAGAAGGGAAGCAGGAAGGAGTAGAGCAAATACATGTGTGTGACTTTTCAGCATGTTCTACACAGCTTTCTTCCTTGTGCTCTAAATCCTCTTTCACTATCATTTAACAGGATGCCCTATTCCTACCTCCCAGGCCATGGCAACTCCAAGCCACTTGGCAACCCCATTACACCTGAAATGATCTTCCCCAGCTTCTCTCTTGACAACTCCCATTCATCCTTAAAGATCCAGCTCAAACAGCCCTTCCTCCCTGAAGCTTTGTCTGCCCCTGCATCTCACCCTCATCCAAGCACTACAGTCTGTCCTATTCACTGGGTTTCATTTTTATCTTTGCCTTGGAAATCTGCCCTAATTTCTATCCTGTTCTGGATCATTACTCTCACTAGCTCCTGAATGCCTAAAAGCAGGACTGTGATTTATTCATCTTAAATCTACATGGTCTAAAACAGTTCCGTATACATGGTATTTATTCAATGATTGTGGATGAATGAATAAATGAATGAGATAAGACAGGCACTAGGGGAAAGAAACAAAAGAAAGCACCCAAAACTCCCACACTCAACCTGCACATCCAGATAAGAAATCTTGGGAAATAAAACATATAGAATAGCAATGACTGAGAAATATAATGTCAGGAGTGATGTGCTGGTAAGCCAGCTCTTGAAAAAAAAACAAAAAGCCCCAATTTCCATGGTATAAAAACACCCACTGTGGTTGATTTCACACTACCATCCTGACCTCACTAAACACAGAAATTGAGAGGAAAGACACACAAGTGGCTCTCATGAACTGGTATGAGCTGGCTCCAGTACACCATTGCATGCAAGCCATATGTGTAATTTTAATTTTCTGGTAATCACATTAAAAATTGTAAAAAGAAAAATTTAATAATGTGTTTATTTAGCCCAATAGACCCAAAATATTTTTAAAATTATTACTGAGTTTACATTATTGGTTTCACGTAAAGTCTTTGAATTCTGTATGTATTTATACTGCAGTATATGTCAACTTGAACTTGCTGTATTTGGCTAGTGGCCGCTGTATTAAAACAGTGCAGGGCTAGAATCACAGAATCAGAGCCACACAGTGACAGAATAACCTGGCCACCATGTTTTTTTAAGATTTTGGATACAGGGTGATTTTTCAGATGGTGTTGCATTTTTACAACTTCAGGCAGAAATGGTACTTGTCTTGTGGGCTAGACTAATTTAGGAGGATCCCAGATCTGTTACACTTTAACAGAAACTCATGCCTCATCTCAGCCATATGCCTGCTCCATCAGGATCCTACGCCACATGCCCACACTTACTAATTACCACATATTCTTTCCGGCTTTGTATGTGGGGTTGAAGGCAGCTAATGAACAACCTGTAGCAGTTTTTTTCTCTGCACCATGTGGCAATTCAGCAACAGAAATGGCCCTCCTTCTAGGACTGCTCCTTCCATCACAGAACGAGGTTTGATTTTTCAGAAGCTAAATATGAATGCACAGTGTTCAGAAATGCACCTGTTGATTAGCCAAGGAGTTGAGCTGCCCCTTAGGAGCCTCAAGGTGGCGAATGTAGGGCCTTCTTTTTTGAAAAGAGAGTTTGCAACTTTGAAGCAGAGGCCCAGGCATCAGAAGTCGTAGAACCCAGCTCTAGCTCTGTGTGAGCTAGAAAATTCCTTCATCTCTGTCATTTGGCCTATGCTTCTATAATCTGACTTTAAGACTCTGATAGCAGGTTTCTGAATATAGAACGAAGTGATGTTTATGAAAATGCTGTGAAAAAAATGTTAAGTGCTGGAATCGGAATCTTGAGATGAAACGCAGCAGATCTTAGTGGGAGATTCACGGAATATGAATAGGAAAACATGAGTTCTTTTCTTGGCTCCATCAAAAATAGTCTGTGGGCAAGTCAATTAATCTCTCTGGGCCTTTTCCTGATCACTAGAAGGAAAGGGCCAGTCCAGATGACCAGTGGAAATTAGATCATGACACCCTCTCCTAACACCTTCCAGTGGCTTCCCATCTCCCTCAGCATCAGATTCCCACACCTCACCTCTTTGACACCATGTCCTCCTCCTCCTCCTCCTTCCTGGGCTTCAGACATTCTGGCCTTCTTGCTGTTCATTTGACCCTCACATCTCATTCACAGGACACCTTTCAGTGAGGTGTTCCCTGACTGCTCTATTTTAAATTGTAACTCCGTCCCCTATCATATTTCTTTCATAGCAGTTATCACCTCCCTAGCATATCATTTAGTGATATATTTTGATTATTGCCTCCCCTCTCTAGAATATAATCTCCATAAAGTCAGAAATTGTTGTCAGTTTTTTAACCTAGTATATTTCCAGTATCTAAAACAGCACACAATAGGTCCTCAACAAATAGTAGTTGAATGAATGAATGAATAAATGGGAACCATTCTGGCTCTCACATTCCAAGATTATGTTTCCTATTAAGAAAAATTAGCATTCTACCAGAGAAGTTGACAGCCAAAATTCTAGAAATTTATCATAGGCATACCTGAATTACCCACCCTGCAAGGCAGATCCAGCTTAGTTCCCCTGGAGCCCTGAGCCCAGAGAAGTGAAACTAACAGGGTGGCTTCCTTTGTCTGGTGACCCACAGCCTCCCATTCACGCTACCTGCTCTTCCAGTCCTCGACTCCACTCCCTCCCTACTGCAGATACCCCAGTACCCACCTGCCCCCTTCTCCCTCTGCATGAGCCACTCTCAGAGATGCTCTGATGGCCTGTTCTGAGCAATGGCTCCGCGAGAGTCCTTGAGTGCCTGTTCCTGAGCAGAACTGGTTACACCCTATCTCGCACTTAGAGCAGGTTCGAGGGTTCCTGTGATGCCACCTCGCACTGGGAAAAGTAAGGCTTTATTCACATACTTATTCAGTCAACATGGATTAATTGGGTGTGTTGGGGAATACGGAAGCAGACAAGACAAAGTGCCCTCTGCCCTCCTGTGGCACCGACAAGTAATAAATATGTTAATACATATATAATACACCATCAGCTAGTGATAAATACTATTAGGTTTGCGCAAAAGTAATTGCGGTTTTGCCATTGCTTTCAGTATTTTAAAGTGAGGTGGGTTAGACGAGAGAATGGCAGGGAGTGTCACTCTAGGTGAGGTGGTCACAGAAGGCTGCCCTGAGGAGACCTCAGTGAAGTGAGGGGGCAAGTCCCACACCCGGAAACAATCAGTGCAAAGGCCCTGAGGCAGCAGTGCGCCTGCCTTGTCCAAGGAGCCTCAGATGTCAGTGTAGTGAGGAGTGGGGGAGGAGAGGAGAGGAAGTGGGAGAAATCGCTAGAAGCTGACGCTCATAAACTTTGAAGGCCTTGGCACTGATTGGGATTTTGTTCATAGTGTGCTAGAAAGGGATTAAAGGGTCCAGAGCAGGGAAGTGCCATGATTTGACTTAGGTTTGCAAAGGATACTTCTGGCTGCTGAATGGAGAATATTCTGCAGGGGAACAAGAGTGGAGGCAGAATGGCAGGCCATTGTACCAGTCCAGATGACACACAGTGGTGACCTGCCCAGGCCGTGACTGCTTGCCCTTTGCCGTGCCCCAGCGTACTGCAAGCTTGTCCACCTTTTGAGTCCCTGCTCTTCCATCAGAGTCCACAGGTCCCTTTCCTCCATCTCCCAATCTACAATCAGGTGTGTCAGTGGTTTGCAGCCTTAGGTTACCCCCACCTTCAAGCTGAATGAGGATCCCACAGACCACACCCTTCCCAAGGGACACTGTCAGGGATCAGAGGGGGAGTCTTGGGGGTATGAGGAGCAGTGGAGATAAAATGCCAACTATAACTTTGCCCCTTTCCCTATCAATTTAAGAACTTATCATAGAATATGCAGGAGTAAGAATAACTGTCCTTACTAGAAAAAAAAAAGTTTATTCTTCTTTATTTTAAATTATTTTTTTTGAGACAGAGTCTCACTCAGTCACCCAGGCTGGAGTGTAGTTGTGCGATCGCAGCTCACTCTCAGGTTCAAGCGATTTTCCTGCCTCAGCCTACTGACTAGCTGGGATTACAGGCACATACCACCACACCCGGCTAATTTTTGTATTTTTAGTAGAGACACGGTTTTACCATATTGGCCAGGCTGGTTTTGAACTCCTGGCCTCAAGTGATCCGCCTGCCTCGGCCTCCCACAGTGCTGGGATTACAGACATGAGCCACATTCTTTAATTGTTAAATTATGCACTCACAAACTCAGTATGTTAACTATACTAATAACACAGTAATGGCTTGCAAGGTGCCAACACACAATCAGTTGCTTTCACCAATACATCAACACCAGGGTTGAGAACCCCGTTCCAGGATACTTTTTGGGGCATATGGTTAAAAAATATCTTATTTGGCCCTTCGATTATGTCCTCTTGTCTATTTTTTATCCCATGAACCTAAAGGTAGTTTCCCAGGAGGCAAGAACCACAGCTTCTCCTCCTCTGGTCTAGTTCACTGTCAGCACCAGTGGATAGATGAGCAGAGGGTAGCAGGATCTGAGATACAGAACCTTTCAAGGCACGAGTTGGCATCAAAACCTGCCCTTATGAGGCTGTTGAGCCAGAAGAGATCTTGGAAGTCACTTAATCCAGCTCTCTGATTTCCCAGAGAAAGAAACTGATGCCCAGGAAGGTGAAGTGACTGGCCTAAGACCACCCAGCTAGGAAAGGCAGGTGAAGATAGTGAGGCCAAGAAGCTATGTGTGGAAGCTCCCACCCTCACCAGTTCACGGTCTGCTATATCGGTGTTGAAAAAAACGCAGAGGGCACAAACCTCTTCATCTCATTGCAATCCTCATAGCCATCCTAGAAGTCAGAAACAGATGCCACCGCTATCCCCATTTCATAACTAGAACAAACAAAGTCCAAGATTCTGCCTAGTGGTTTGGACCATATGTTGCAGGGGGGCGCTAGGGCAGCAGGGAGATGATTGAAAATGCCGGATTGACCCTTTTTTTAATCCTTGAAAAGGGGAATGCTGAGGTGAGGATGATCATGGAAAGACTGTCATTCAGAGAAGAATTCAAATTCTTCTATGTAGCTCCAGAGGCAGAATGAGGACCTGGGCCCAACAGGAAAGAGAGATGTCTGATCACTAGGGCTCTCTGAAAATAGAAGGAACTGGCTGGGGAAATGGTGGGCTCCCAATTTCTGAGATGTCCTGGGCCGAGGCTGGAGGTCAGTGAGTCAGGGGCACTGCTGAGAGGACTCCAGCTTCAGGGGCAATTGGACTGAATGGCCTCTGAAGTCTCCTTCAGGCCTGATATGTAACAATTCTGTTTACAGGGGACTTGGCAGTGGATTCTGTCTCATAAAAAGAGTTTCTCCCACCCACATGGCTGGAGGCATTCTCCCTAATGAAGTCATCCCAAAGGACTACAGCTGAATGTCTTCCAACCCCTAAGGATGGGATGAGGAGAAATGACCTTAAGTCATGTGACATCCATCGGCCCTGTGAAAGACTTCCTATGTTGTGAGCTTAGAGGTAGGGTGCAGCTGCCAGAGGGTGTTACTAAAACTCCTCTCTGGTGATCTCTGAGGAGAATGGGGATACCCACGGTCCTCACGGCTTTGGATAAAGCAGTGTGCAGGCAGGGGGATTGATTTTGTGACCTTTCCCAGTTTCCTCCAGCCTGTTCCAGCTACAATTCTACGATAAAAGCATTAGAGGGCCCAGAGGTGGTTTAGCCTCACTTCTCCCATTCTGGTGATTGAAGACATTTTTTCTAAAACCCTATAAACCCTAAACCGTAATTCTTTTACAGCAAAGGGAAAGACAGTACAGTCATGCACAGTTTGAAGCAAGGGAGTTACAGGGAGAGGTGAAAGGGAGAGGAAGGTCTGTTTAGATTGTGGTTGTCTTTTTTTGTTTGGGGTTGGTGGGTGGGGGGGGGTGTTAAATGTGAAGTTTGATGACTGAACAAAGAGAGCAAAGGAGAAAAAATGTGAAAAAACTCAAACCTGCAGTTTTCTGATACACAGAAGGGAAACCCAAACTCCACTCATTATGGCACATATTTATGGCAGATCATAACATTAAATTACAACTCGGCGGCCTCGGCCAGGACTGTGGAGTTCTTCCCATGTGCTTCCAATTAAGCCTGTTTGAAGTTGCCCTGGATATTTATTTGTAGGGGATTTACTGCACAGAACGATTAAAGTTTGTTCTTGTTAAGAGTTGGGGGCTAGTTTTGGGGGTGGGGAGCTGGAAAGGAAAAAAAGCTGGAGAGAGAAAGGGGGGCTGCAAGGTACCCCAAATGAATATACGTGTATGTCTTAAAGTGCACACAAACACACACACAAGGGCCCTTTGTTTTCAACATGGTGAGGGGCCAACATCTCTGACTGTGATTTTGTTTATAGGAAATCCTTTATAATGCACGTTTAGTGTTTCCATATGGAATTCTCATAGGACATTTCCCCGCACCACCCTCCCCACTCCCCTTTTTTTATTTGGATAAGGCAAGAGAAAAGGGACTGTACATTCCAAAGATTCATAGTCATTCCGGATCAAATTCAATGGATTTTGGCAAGAGTTGAAAAACCCAGATGCAGGGCTTCAGCCTCCCGCTGAGCCGCCTCCAGCTGCGAGTGTCTGGTGGAGGCACTTTGTAAAATCATGAAAACCCTATTAAATTCATGAAATATGATATACTGTCGTTTCAGACTAACTTTCCATTGAACTGTCCATGAAGAGAGAATTTGGTTAACTTGCTGAAGAAGAGGGAAGTGGCAAGGCTGGGGCAGGGAGGGGAGGAGGGAGGCGCTATTGAAGAAAGAATGCAAAGAAAGGTAAGGAATTCTGAGGAGCTTGCAAATTTCTGTGTCTGAGCGTGAGAGCTCCTTAGGACCCCAGCAGAACTGGGCTTTCTTGAGGTTTGGCTCTTCTCAGAAAATGAGGTGGTCGCCATCATTCCTCTCCCAAGTGGGTGAATATCTCATTTTGACCACTTTAGCTGCTGGGATGATTTGCTTCAGAGCGCATGAGACTCCAGCAATTCTTTGGCAGACATTTAGGTTCTGCCCCACCTTGTCTTCTAGCTGAGAGGCCAAAGGCAGAGAGAGAAAGAGGGAGTAACTTGCCCAGGGTCCAACAGTTTGAAAACCCAGAGTTCCTGAATCCCAGTTTGGCTCTTTCCATCAAAGCATGTCCCTTCCCTGGATAAATGAGATAGAGAGCTTCACTGCGGGTGCTGGCTCTCCTTGCCTCAGATCAGAGCTGCTGACAACATTGTTTTTTGCATAAACTCACAGGCCCATACTCCCCCCAGCTATGAAATGGTCCATCCTAAAGAAGTTGGACAGTCTTAGTTCATTTCCCACTGGACTATAATTCACATCGTAAAACTATTGCATGTTTATTTTCAAACAGAACAGGGTGAGGAGTCTCTGGAGGTGAATTGGTTTTGTTTTCTGGAAACCGCCACAGGACATGGGCAATTGCAGGAGCTCACGTGTGTGTACAGAGTTTGTCTTGCAGAAAGCCAAGCGGGGCTCTCCTTTCCCAGGTCTTGGCACCCTAGGGGTCTAAAGTCCAGACCCCTGGAATGTAAGGGCAGACAGGAACATCAGGACCCACCTGCCATTCATGCAAAGGCCCTGAAGTAGGAATGTCACACCCTGCAGTTGGCAGCATCTCTGACCCAGCTGCCAGGGACAGCTTCATGCCTAGAAAATTATCAGAGTAAAAGCTGACATTGATTGAGTGCTTACAGTGTGCTAAGGCACTGTTCTAAGGCACTGCTCTAGACATGGATTAAATCACTTCATCCTAACAACCCTGCAACGTAATGATATTATCCCCATCTTGCAGATGACAAAATTGAGGCAAGTCGCCCAATGTCTCACAACAGACTAAGATCACATAACCAACATGAGTGACTGAGCCAGTATGTGAACCTCAGCATGGGTGCTGCAGAGTCTGAACTCTCAAATTGCCACCACCCTCCCCACTCCCAATCCCACCCCAACACACAGACCTAAATACCACATGTCAGTCACTGAGGTCTTAACTCTCCCTCTTCTCACCCCCATTGGAGGTGTATTTTTTTATTTAAAGTTTTCCTACCCTCTCCTTACTCTTCTGATATGCAAATATCCCTGAGGGTGGTAATAGCTTGTTACTAATAATCTAAGCCAATGCTTCTCCAACTGTAATGGGCATACACATACCCCCAGCAGTCCTGTTCAAATGCAGATTCTCATTCAGTAGGTCTGTGGAGGAGTCTGAGATAACAATATTTCTTGTTTTGTTTTGTTTTTTTGAGATGGAGTCTCGCTCTGTTGCCCAGGCTGGAGTGCAGTGGTGCGATCTCAGCTCACTGCAACTTCCGCCTCCCGGGTTCAAGCAGTTCTCTGCCTCAGCCTCCCAAATAGCTGGGATTACAGGTGCCCACCACCACACCCAGCTAATGTTTTTGTATTTTTAGTACAGACAGGGTTTCACCATCTTGGCCAGGCTGGTCTTGAACTCCTGACCTCGTGATCCACCCACCTCGGCCTCCCAAAATGCTGGGATTACAGGCATGAGCCACCACGCCCAGCCGAGATAACAATATTTCTAACAAGCACCCAGTGCTGCTGCTGGGTCATAAAGTACACTTTTGAGTAGCAAGGCTCTAGGCTATTTACCTGATTGCTTCTCTCCACCAAAGGAGACCCCACTATACACTAAGAGTTGTGGGTACATGAAATGAAGACACATGCAGAAAAAGGGACCTGGGAGAGCCAAAGACATTTCATCAGTTTCACAGCTGTGGTCCAGGCTAGCCCATTTGCCACCCATCAGTAGAGCCACTAGATTTCCAAGCTTCAAGTGCCAGGCACTGGTAGACATGGGGAAGCATGCAGAGTTTTTGGAGCCCTGAGAAGCCTTTTGATTTTAACCTCTTCAGCAGCATGCAATAGCCAGATGATACAGGAACAGAGAGTCCAATACCTCTATACCCATGGCAGGGCAGTAATATATATACAGTAATCACTGGGGTCAAGAAGAGTCAGCATCAAATCCCTCCCTTCCATCCTGGGGGAAAGGTTGCTTACCAAGAGGAATTGGCCCAGCGATAGCAGTTTCCACCTTCTTGCTGGGAGAATTAGGGCAGATATTTAACCTTTATTTAACTTTTCTGTTTCATTTTTTTTAATGTAAAATGAGAAAATTACACTAGATTTTTCAACCTCTCTTCCCTCCTCATCCCCAATCTATGAGTCTATAGAAGCCTATATAATAAATAAAAATCCACCAACTCTCTGGATGTCTCAGTATTCTGATGTCATTGTTGCCAATACCATGCATCAGGATATCAGATGGAACTGGTTGCATTTCCACCTGGAGGTTGAGTGCCATAAAAACATAGCTTCCACACAACCCTAAGCGCCCCATTCCCAGTCCCATCTTGGGAAGCAGATGCAGGAAAGTTCGTTTCCCATAGTGGCCAAGCATGCTGCCTGAGACTCAAGACTAGAAGGCAGTGGTCTAGTCCCCAGAGCTCTGCTTCACAGCCAAAACACACTGTATTATATTCCTACCAGCTCTGAATGCCTTGCACAGCCAAAAGGTACAGGCATTTGAGAGCAGCAAGGGGCAGCACTTGATCCCTGGCCTGTTCTGTCTGGCTGTCTCTGGCAATGGGAAGCCAAGCACCATGGCCTAATGAGGGCCTGGGAGACCCAGTAGACAGTTCAAGTCCAGCAGAGCCAAGCCCAAATCCTTGCTCTCCCATGTCTGGGTTATGTACTTGTAACTTCTGTTAACTCTTAAGGCAAAGAGTAGGTGAGCAATAATGTAAAGCTATTCCTCTGAATGACTGTTGACAATAAATCAGACACTCTCTGGATTTGCTCTCCAACCTGATGGAATCCAAGGGGATCCCTTGGAATCTGCGTTGTCAAACAACTAAAGATCCAAAGTTCTAGACCAGAGCTGTCCAATAGAAATAACATGTGAGGCCGGGCGCCGTGGCTCACGCCTGTAATCCCAGCACTTTGGGAGGCCGAGGCAGGCGGATCATGAGGTCAGGAGATCGAGACCATCCTGGCTAACATGGTGAAACCCCATCTCTACTAAAAATACGAAAAAATTAGCCGGGCGTGGTGGCGGCGCCTGTAGTCCCAGCTACTCGGGAGGCTGAGGCAGGAGAATGGCGTGAACCCGGGAGGCGGAGCTTGCAGTGAGCCGAGATCGCTCCACGGCACCCCAGCCTGGGCGACAGAGCAAGACTCCGTCTCACAAAAAAAAAAGTGAGCCATCAATGTGAGGCAGTGTGAGCTGGTGCGAAGGGACGTAGGCTAGAGCTCTCCCATCATCTCCTACAAACCCCCAAACAATAATAATATTAATAATAGTGAAATCCCAAGAATGACATTCTGAGATATGATAACTAAGCATTTCCTTAATCTTTTTTTTTTTTTTTTTTTTTGAGACGGAGTCTTGCTCTGTCGCCCAGGCTGGAGTGCAGTGGCACGATCTCGGCTCACTGCAAGCTCTGCCTCCCGGGTTCACGCCGTTCTCCTGCCTCAGCCTCCCAAGTTGCTGGGACTACAGGTGCCTGCCACCACGCCCAGCTAATTTTTTGTATTTTTAGTAGAAACGGGGTTTCACCGTGTTAGCCAGAATGGTCTCGATCTCCTGACCTCTTGATCCGTCCACCTCGGCCTCCCAAAGTGCTGGAACCACCAGTGTGAGCCACCGCGCCCTGCCGCATTTCCTTAATCTTACCTAAAGGGTGAATAAAAGGATTTTTAGAAAACTATGCTATTTGTATTGATCTCTAGTATTCGAGCTAAGTAAAAAATATACAATACAACTCTTAAGACATTAGCATTTTCCCCCACTTCTGGCCAGACCGTCACCCCTAAGCTCCTTCAGTAAAAATTTCTGTAACTATAACTGACCAGTGGAGAGGCCAGTGGGTAACCCAAAATAGCACCTGCCAGAGTTTCTCAACCAGTGAGGTGTTTAGTGCTGCTTACTTTTTAAAAATTTGATTTGAATGAGGAGAGGACCTTGAATACTAGAGCACAGGGTGCTGGGAGGATACAGACTGCAAGAGTGCAAGGTTTGGGACATAGGGTGCTGGGGGACAAGAGGGAAGGGTTAATTTGTATGGCACACACTAGTCACTGCTACAGCAGAGGATTTGAGAAGGACCACAAGCACGCAGTACCAGGATGCAGAGTATTAGGAAATGCACTATAGCAATGGGATGTTTAAGTGTAAGACACATCAAAGAATGCTTGGACATTAGATGTGAGGTTCAAGGGAATCAGGGCATGGAGTCTGGGGAAAGCAGAATTTGAACAACCCATAGACTCATCTGGTCAGAAAATGGCACCGCAGGTTTTCTCCGTGAACTTCAATGATCACCTGCCAAGCTTTCTTTGATCTTCATTTGACTGTTAGGATTGAAAGGTTCAGCTTGTCCCTCTCTCTCTGATCCCCTCCTCTCCTTTCTCTCCTGGACCGGTCATTACCTCTGTGAACAAAAGGCATCTGAACAGCAGGGCAGACCCAGGCAGAGTGGGCACAGCCGTCCAACCATCCAGAAACTAGACCCATCACAGCTCATGGCACCTTACTTGTCTCTTCCTTGTAAAAATTGGGATACTATTTTCTAGCCTGATAGATGGGAGGCTGAACCAGATGTCTTCTAGCTCTAAACTCTGGAACTCTTGGAAACAAGTCAGAACTCTAGAGCCTAAGTCTTGTTACCAAAGTGAGATTCTCCCACACAGATTTCATGGTTCATCACTATCCTGGCTCCACCACCCCCAGCAGCCGTCACACCCTGGTCGGAACAGAATCCCACCAGGCAACTACGCATGCCACACCTGCACAACTTCCCCACCGACCCCCAACCCCTGTGAGACTTCATCCCCTTCAGAAATGACTGCTTCCTTCTCCGGAATGTAATCCTTTCCTCTTTCCAAACCCTACCCAGACATTCACTCTGCCATGAAACCTTTCCACATTAACCACCCGGAAATCCAACCATCTCATTTACTCAACCATCTCAGCATTTTCACCTCCTTGCACAACTGCCTTTTAAAACCGTTTTCTTGTATTATAAAAATAATAGTATGCTTTACACCCTTTCTGTGTGTTTGCATACATGTTAGAGTACTAAGCTTAATGTTACGCAAAAAGCAGGGTCTCAGTAAAAATGGGCTAGAAAAATGATCTTCACAACATCTCTGTGAGGAATTAATGATAGTTAACATTTATTTTGCACTCCTGTGCTAAGCAGTTTATACGCAGTATCTCATTTCATCAATAACCCTGTAAGGTAGGCATGATTTGTATTCCCCATTTTGCTGGGTTTTTTTTTTTTTAAGCTGAAGCATGGAAGATGCTAAAATATAGGCAATCTTACTTCAAACCCCACACTTTTGCCACTGCATTTAGACTGTCTTTCCACTTAACCATTAAGTAAACTGGGGTACGCAGGCATTAAGTGAATTACTTGAAGTCACATGGTTGGGGCTAGAAATTGTGTACTCTCCACCAGGTCTCGTGGCCTCTTTCAAGCTTTGCAATTAGATTCTCCTTTCCATGTGTGCCTGAAACAGCAAAGACTGTAATGCCAGGCAGAGCCTCTATTTCCTAGGAGGGTTGCTGTGAGGATTAGAACCAAGAAATGCTCTCAGACATGGCCTGGCAGGTGCTAGGTACTCAGCGGCAGCCTTTGACCTCTTCCCTGCTCCCCGGCTTCCTCACTTCCACACACTCCAAAGCCTTGAACGTCCTTGTTCAACTCAAACTCTGATGTTCGGAGCGAACATCAGACTCAGCTGGCTGCCCCCAGGGTGTTCATTGAGGAGGGTCCCCCTCTCAAATCATGAAGCTGCAGTGCAGAAATGAGGTCACAGGGCCCACATTGCTCATGCTTCCTGGAGCCCTACTGCTGAGTGGTACGGACTTCATCCAAGAAAAAGAAAACCACCCAGTACGGACTGGAGGAAAGCATCTGTTCCATAAAGACCCTCCCCTTCCTCTGTTCACAAGGCACCTCTCCTCTCTAGTCTCCCTGTAAACTCTGCCTGTGTACCCCAGTTGCCCTCTCCTATCTTGCCACAGTGGCATAAGGCTAAATTAATTAATGTGGGTAAACCATGTGGAAAGGCCTGGCTTGCCAAGTGCTCTAAGTTTGAAATACTATTGGAAGCAGTGGAAATTGGCACGGCTACCTAGAACAAAATTAATCTCACCCCCAGGACTCCTGAGCTTGAATTTGGTTAATGGAGGCATGCGCAGCTAGAACACGATCTTCATTCAAAACACTGTGGGTATATTTCAAACTCTTATTGGGGAACAGGGAGATATTACAATTAAAAGGGAAGGAAGATGGCCAGAATGGGCATTTCCTGTGATATATGAAACCCAATGGGAATTACCCAGGAGTTGAACAAGAGAAGGGGATAACTTACAAAGTGAGGTCTGTAGGGCTATGTTGGTTTGGGTGTCTCTGGGAGACAAGAGTCTTCCTACCATGGCAGGTGTGCGTGTTCCCATCAGGAAGGGCAGCTGGAACTCTTGGGCAAAAGCTGAAGCTATTGTTCACATGCAGAATTTCTATTTTCTCAAGAAAGCTTTGGTGCTACTTTTCAGGCTTTTCAACTGATTATATCAGGCCCATCCAGATCATCGAAGGTAATCGCTCTTAAAGTCAACAGATTATGAAACTTAATACAGCTACAAAGTACCTTCCCATACCAACACCTGGATCAGTGTTTAATTGATCAACTGGGGACTGTGGCCTCACCAAGATGACACAAAAACTGCCTTCACAGCTGCTCTGCACTCCTCACCACTCAGCCCCCACCTACCTCCTCTACCATTGGACCCTTTTACTGCCTCTGTGCTTCTATGATGTCCCATCCCCTAGAAATGGCCTTTGGGCCATCTATTAACCAATCCCATCAAAACCTCAGACAAGTCTCCAAAGAAGGTTGGTTGCAGCCGGGCACGGTGGCTCATGCCAGCACGTTGGGAGGCCGAGGCGGGTGGATTACTTGAGGTCAGGAGTTCGAGACCAGCCTGGCCAACATGGTAAAACATGGTAAACACCATCTCTACCAAAAATACAAAAATTAGCCAGGCGTGGTGGTGTGTGCCTGTAGTCCCAGCTACTTGGGAAGCTGAGGCAGGAGAATTGCTTGAACCCAGGAGGAAAAGGTTGCAGTGAGCCAAGATTCTGCTACTGCACTCCAGCCTGGGCAACAAGAGTGAAACTCCATCTCAAAAAAAAAAGAAAGAAAGAAAGAAAGAAAAGAAATGGAGTTTACAGTGACAGTCTTTTATCCACCCATTCAGTAAATATTATTTGATTTTGGCATTTGTTACAGACCCTGCTCTAGGGAAGGCCTCATCCCAGTGACTACCTGGTAGTTCCCCAAGAATGTCAGGTAGTGGTGAGTGTTTTGGGGAAAACGGTAACTAAAAGGGTTGGAAAGTTGGGGGATGAAGGCAGGAGGTAAAAGATGATATCAGAGAAGTGGCCAGAGGGCAGGTCATGGAGACCAGTAGGACATGGAAGGACTTTGGCTTGTGTCTGAGTGAGCTGGGAGGTCCCTGCAGAGGTTTTGAGCAGGAGAGGGACTCTGCTACATATTCAAAGGAACGCTTAGGCTGCTGTGTGGAAAATGGACTGAGGGCAGGCACAGGAGGATGCAGAGAGACTGGTCTGCAGCCTATTCACCTAATCCAGGAGAGGGATGGTGGTGCCTTAGACTCAGTCACTTAGCAGTAAAGATGATGAAAAAAGTACATTCCAGATATAATTTAGAGGTGGCATTAATAGGAATTGCTGGTGCATTGAGGTGTGGTGTGTGAAAGAGGCCTGAGCCACCAGGTAAGTGACAGTCCCTTGTACTGAGACTGGGGAGCCTCATGGGAGGATGGGTTGTGGGGAGGTGCAGGCCAGTCATACACACCCAATCAGAGGTTCCCAATACATTTTGCATTTTACTGAATGGGACTTTCTACAAATGGGCAACCCACACATTCACACAACAGTTACAGCTCACACGTACTGTACTGTAGAGACCCGAGGCCCAATACCTCCTCAAGGGCCTTCTAGTCAAAATGGAGCCAGCCAGCCCCGACTGTTAGCGTGTCTGTGCCCACGTAGGTTATCTCTGTCTCATTTTACCCATCAGAATAGATTACCGAGAAGCTCCAGTTCCCTGTTTGAAATGATCTCTCTGTAGAAACAAAAAGACATTCAAGACCCGAGGGCTTCAAAGCAGTGGAGAAGGGGAGGGAGAAATGACATGGCACTGCAGCTTGGGTCTGCTCAGGAGAGTGGCCCCAGCATTTCTCCTACAAATTTCTTAGGTGGGCTACATGGACGGCGCTGCATTATGACTGGCGAGGGTCCTAGACGCTTTCCTTTTTAAGTCCCTTCCTCCATAAAAATAAAAAAAATTATATTTTATGACTGTGTTGGTATTGAGATAAATATAATGCAAGCAAGATAGTATGCATTTTTTTCTCCTGATTTTAAAAAGGCATTTTTATGGGCCCCTAAAAATATCTTGGGCTATAGGCATTGTGCCTCCTGTACCCAGTGGATAAGTTGGCTTTCTGTCTAGGAAGGAAAAGAGGTGGGTCTGCATTGGCGGTGGGCATCAGGGACCTGGACTCTTGTCCTGACTTTCTAACAATTCGCTCTGAGACCTCCAATCAGTCCCTCCACCACTCAAGGCTCCTCTTTCCTTATCTTTCTAAGGAGCATCTTTCAGCTGCCTTCAGGCAATAATTCCTCAATATTCTAACTAAAGCACGCAGACCGCTTGCTTCATTTTTAACTTTCTTACCCCAAGGGAAGGCTCTTCCTCCCAAGTATAATATTAAACTCGTTTTCTCTTTCTGAATCTTCTTCTCTCATCAAATCATGTGCCGGTATATGCAGCCACTGGTTTCCAAAAAGAGGCCATAAAACCATGATGAGTATGAAGATACCAATGTGAAAATGACAGAGAGAAAGTCATAAACATTCAAATAAATATATAAATATAAACAAGTCTATAAACCAAACCCTGGAGGCATTTTAAACACATAATGTAGCGTTTATATCTCTTACTTTGCACAGCAGAACTTTCAAAGGAATTTCATTTAATTCTATTGCTCACACCCCTAACCCCCATCCAGGAGTAATCGCTAATAACCAGCACAATTACTGCCTCCCTCTTGATCAAGGGTTCATTTCAGAAGCTGATTCTTGAATTCATTATCCTGCTGGCAATGAGTTGAATCACAGCGGATGTGGCCATATGACAATCCCCCTTGCTCTTCTTCCAGTTAGGTTCAGCGAGATGCCTGACAGTCCTGGCCGCGACCTGCTCTGACTCTTGCAAAAGTAGTTACCTTTCTGTTACCTGGCCCAATTTAAAGAAGTCAGTCAGGACTTAGGAAGTGAGCAGACAATTCTGTTTTGTGATGGGCTTGTGAATGGAGGGACACCCTACCATGGAACATGATTGTGTCTGTCTCTCTCCAGAGTGCAGGGAGCATGACCCAGCCACTCTGCACCTCCGGCAGGGACACGGGTAAAGAGGACACTGAGCAGTGTCTGAGCAACAGGCACTGTTCCGAGCCTGTATTAGTCTGTTCTCACACTACTGATAAAGATATACCTGAGACTGGGCAATTTACAAAAGAAAGAGGTTTAATGGACTTACAGTTCCATGTGGCTAGGGAAGTCTCACAATCATGGCAGAAGACGAGGAGCAAGACACATCTTACATGGATGTCAGCAGGCAAAGAGAGAGCTCATGCAGGGAAACTCCCCCTTATAAACCATCAGATCTCGTGAGACTTATTCACTATCACAAGAACAGCATGGGAAAGACTTGCCCCCATGAGTCACCAGGTCCCTCCCACAACACATGGGAATTCAGGATGAGATTTGGGTGGGGACACAGACAAACAATATCAGAGCCCTTCTCAGGTACTTGCTCATCTGATCCCCACAACAGCCCATGAGGTAGATATAGACCCAGCTACAGGATTTATGGGTGCAAAATGAAAATGTAGGGCGCTTGTTAAAAAAGCAGAGAAAATAAGAGGCAGTTAAAGATACTAAAATATAAAACTTGTTTCTTTCTTCCACGAGTGCTCTTTTTCTCTCTCCCTCCCTCTCATGGTGTTTTTATTTGCTACTTATTGTCATACTGCTTGGGACACAAAAATACTTGCTAGATGAGTGAAGACCATCACGGGAACCCAGGGGTTCCATCCTGCAATTCAGTGTACTCCCAAATGGCCCACTGGCCACCAGGTCCCCCCAACACACACACCAGCCATCAGACTGACCTGCTGTACCCAACCAGGAGTGGAGAAATTGAGTCAGGCATCCCTTCTTCTCACAGGCCCTCCACCTCAACCACAACACACAGTGAACAGGCAGCCTCAGGGTATGGTAATCTTGATGCCAGGATACACTTGGCACCAGGATTGGGCTAAGATGCTGCAAGGTACATGCACTCAACTCTGACCCTCACCTGTGCACACCTCTGCACAGAGAGCAGCAGCAGTCACTGGGTAGGGGGCAATGAGGAAGAGGCTGGGCAGGTCCTTGGGCTCCAAGAGGTGGGGAATAGGCACTCAAGAACCATGAACCAAGGGAGGCAGCAGGAGGTAGGACTGAGTGTGAGCAGAAGATCTAGTGGCTCGTGCTCCATTGTCCCACTGGACTTCCCTTACAAAACGCAAATTCAAGCTTTTAAATAATTGAAAATATTTGAATTATTGTGAATTTCAAGATGGTGACTGTAGAGCCCTGTTTATACAGGGCCATATGCAAATTGCACTTGTTGCAGGTCCATGAAGCCAACCCTGAGTCAATTTTATGACCATCCTCATTTGAGGGAACTCATGCTCTGTATTCTGCCCAGGGTCATAATGCAGTGAAGTAGGATAGGATGGGAGGGGGGACCAAGACTCAAACTCAGTCATCTGCCTCCAGAGCCTCATCCTTACCACTTCCCTAGGCTGTCCCTTATTCCACCAAACCTGACTGCCTCCCCTCAGGATGATCAGTGCTGCACCACATGGTATGGTGGAAAAACAAAAGAGAATGCGCGGCCCAACCTACAGCTTCATTCTAACTGGCTACCAACTGGCTTCATGACCTTGGCAAGTCACTTTACTTTTCTGAGCTTTATCCTAACTTACCACATGGAGGTGCTGCAGAGAAAAACCCATGGGGTCATAAAGGTACAATTCTAACAAAGCCTTTAGTGTCTAGTGGGAGAACCTTACTAAGCAGATCCCAGATCTCTCTGTCATCTCCTCCTTTCCTAGTCATTTCCCCACCCCTCTGGGCAACTGACTGAATGTCCAAGAGGACAGTGTGCATGCTCTACCATCGAATTGTTCTATGGCCACATAGTAAGAAAGGGACAAGGTTGGATCCATTCACCACTCAGAGCTATAATATTTTCTGGGTCTGTGTACAACTACTTTGACTTTGTCATCTTAATTCCAATGGGGTTTTTCTTTCCCCTCTATCTTTTCAGTCCAACTGGCTAGTGCTCTCCATTCATGACCCAGAAGGAATCTCCCAGCTGAGCCTAACCAATGTTTTCTAAATGAACATCATTGAGGAAAATTCTGACAATGCTTTTTTCTGAAATCAATTGATCAGACTGGCCCATTAATAAGCATTGACTTGAAGGGACTCCAAGTCTGTAGCATGATGAAGCAACACCATGGTGATCCTCAATCTTTAAGTCTTTTCAGCTGAACTATGGTGACTTACACTTCCTTGGACAAGATTGCAAGCATTTTCTTTGGTCTTATCCAGGAAGCATCTGCTTAGGCAGGACTGGCTGAAAGATGTGAATGGTCAGAGCCTTTGGCATTGGCCATTCTGTCGGGTGAGGGCATGTACGGTTGTGCATGATGCCCAGGGGTCTCCTTCTTTCTGGGATCCAAGTCCCACTCTAGGAATACTCATTCACTTCCCAGATTAAGCCAAAAATATGCAAACTCCACCAGACCTTCAGTTCTAAACCTCAGTCAAAGAAGCTTATTTCATAAAATATCAAAAGGCCATGGATGAGCCATACAATGGTAAATAGATATGAACATTAAAGGAGATAGTGTGTGTGAAGTGCCCAGCACAGTGTCTAATACACAATAGGTATTCAACTAATGTCAGTCCTTAATGAAAATGTCATCTCTCTTGGAGAGGGTTAGTGAGCAGAGTGATTTGTCACTCATTCCTTATGGAGATTGGATATCTGCCCTGGAGAGGGATAGAATGAGGGCACTGGATACCCTAATGAAGGTGGAAGAAGATCTAAAAAGGAATTTGAAGCAGGGCAAGGAGGCAGGAGCAAAGATTACAGAAAACTGAAAAGCCACTTCACCTACTGTGTGGCTTTTCCATGGATGAGCTCTGGCCTCACCCCAAGGGTGGAGTTAGCATAGGGGTCTTTGGTGTGATGTGAAAAACACTTTCACCCCCATACTCACTTCAGCTGCTCTACCCTCTGCAGAGACTTGAAACATGACTGTGATGGGGCAAAGAAGTTGGTCTTTCCTTGAAAAACTCAGACCCTTGCAAGAGATCAGAAGATACAAAATTTCACTCAGGCTCTTTCAAAGAATTCTCCTCTTTTTGTATCTTAAGGCCAAAAGCCTTCTGCTTCCTTGTGGTAAAATGCAGACACTTGTGTGCTTTCTTCAAAGCAAACACTCCCCGCTGATGGATTCAAACATTTTGACTGAACTCATTCAAATTCCCATCAGTTTAGCCAATTGATGTCATCTCAAATATCTGTCAGCACAACCAGCCAAGTCGATTAGACACCTGGTCTTTTTAGTTAGCTAACTTGTTATTTCCAAAAACAAAAATAAAAAATCAAGATAAAAATAACCCATCAATTTAGTTAGCAACTGACTGATAGATTCTATCAAAAAAGTACATTTTGTCAAACAATTTTGCTTTTTTTTCACTGAATCTACTGAATCAATCAGTTGTTGGGATAGAGTGGTATTGAGCAGATGTGTCAGCTTGCTGAACAAGCAGGGAGGGGAACATCACAAATGAATCATCACAAAGATTCCATCAGAATGACCACTGCTCAATCATTCACAACAGTGAGAAATGGAATCCTGGTAAGTGTACAACAGGTGATCCCCAATCACAGCAATTTTGTGCTTTGAAGAGCATTTTTCTATTCTTTCTAGAAATTTGCTCTTCCTGTCTCTTGTTGGTCCATAATTGATAAGAACATGCGTGTGGTTTCCCAGAGAGTGGTCTGATCTTTGTCCTAGATTAACCATTGACAATCAACAAGCAGATGACAGAGTCACTGAAAACTGAGAGTTCACTGTATTTATTGGGGTCTCTTGAATAGTGTATTACATTGAATTAATTCTGAAAGATGTGAGTCCTACCCAAGACCAGAGAGTTATGATAAATTCAGTGGTTGATGTAGTCTCTAGGGTTACAATCAGGGTATTTCTTCGTCAAAACTGAAACCATTATAACTAGCCTTTTCTATTCTCCTCCCTCTGCCTTTACTCTTTTTCAACCCTCGGCTCTCATCCCCTCTCATACAGCCCCTCCCAGGATGCCCAGAATCCTAACAGTGTGCCAGAGCTCTCCCAGTGGAGGAATCATCTAATAGACTAAGTCACCCTAAAGAGTCATTGACTTGATGTGCTAATTCTTACCAGGGGTGCTTGTTTTTCAAAAGAAGATACCTGAAGTGGTCTGTGCTTACCCCAAAGGAGTGAGTCACTAATGGCATAATTTCAGATGCCAGGTAACTGGAGAGGGTCTAAGAGTCAGAAGACATGCTTTTAACAAAACTATGTATTTGAAGAACAGTCTTACTTAGAGAACCAGAACATATTTACTTTCAAATGTCTTCATACATAATTAAGTGGCTCACTTTCGTTGGATTCAAATTTTCCATTGGTCAGATTTTCTCCTGGTCACAGACACTTCTGCAACAGGAATAAGCTGATTATTTATTACTAGTCACTCACACCTATAATTCACTTTTCCAATTTTTCTCTGTTGCCTATGTAGTGCCATTTTGTCAATCCCCGTGGTTTATTGACTGAGTTTTGATGGCTGGGGTAAACAAATTACTTCAAGAATGAATATGATGCAAAAAAGTCATTTCTCACTGCGTTCTAAATGATGAAATTGGTGTGAGATCCAGTTAATCCTAATGTCAGGAAGCCATTCACCATCATGTGGAGGCATGTTACCATAGCCTCCTATCAGCAGCATAACTTTGTATGGTACATAATATTTACCATTTTAAAATTCTAAGTAAATATCTGACAATATCCAGATCAAATGATTTTGCAGTTAAAATACTCCAAATCATGCAGTCTACTCCTTTAAAACCCATTGAAAATATAGCGCAGAGAAACAACTCTGCTTTATAAATGCATCAGGAACATCAGTAACAAACAGGTCCACATTCTTATGTTATATCAGAGGATACATATGGGGTCTAGTGAAACTCTGCACAGTCAGAACCAAGCATGTGCCTACTTCAGTGGTCTCCAAATTTCTTTACTGTGCAATTCCATTAGAAAAATATTTTTGGGCAGTCACCCCCAATATGTTTCTTTAAATATAAATTACATATGTGTACATACATCAGCTAATATGTCAAGGCACAATGCACACTTAGGTGAGGGTCATCTTTAATGTCAATGAATGTAAATCCTTGTTTAAAGTAGACTTCACAGTTTTGGCATTTTGGAGGGCCTAATCTCATCGTGGCTGATTAGATTATCATTGCCTTTACTTTTACAGTGTAGGTGGTGATGAGCTCACAATCAGAACAAAGGAACCAATAGCCCTACCATTTTTGTATAAATTATTTGGGCTTCTATTAGTCTTCTTTGCAAGACTCTGATTAATATGAGTGTCAATTTTGTGTACATCCTTCTGCACAATGAGGCTTCCACTCTTCCCCGCAGTGATCATCATCATAATACAATATTGATAACCAATAGGAAGCACTAATCAAGGCAGTCTGGCTCCAGGGCCTGCATGAGCAACCACCAGCATCTTAACTTTGCAATGCTGATCTTCACGCACGGTAGACAAGGACCACATGTGACAGGTAACAACTTGAAAGACAATCCTAGCCAGGCTAGTAAAGCTTGATTTCCTTCTTAACCTCTGAATAAAAATATACATAAAAGTTCTAATATTTTCTACCCATGCACTGATGGACTGTCTCATGTACCCCTCAGGGCAAACTCCCCACTTTGGGGACCACTGGTTTTAGTTCACCTTAAAATATAACCCCCTCTGGAGAAGAGGGTGAAGATGCCCACTGACACAAATCAGACTTTATGTTCTGCCAGGACTTTTGACCTCCCGGGGGCACAAAGAAGCATTAAAGAGTCTTAAATGAGAGGTGATGGGATTCAATGATTAGATCATTATTCTGATTGCGGTAAGAAGAATGGACTGTGGAGGATGCACAGATAACAGGAGAAATAATAATGGTCTGAGTTAAGGTTGCAGCCTTGAAACTGGAGAGAAGTGGGCAGAATCACAAAATATTAAAGATTTGGTTATTAATTAAACTTGACCAAGGTTAAACAGCTGGTAGGCAGCAGAGCTAAATTTAGATCCCAGGTCTCCTCACTCCCAATGCAATGATTTTTCTTCTGATTTGCCATGTCAGAGAACACCTGGTCCCTCCATTTTATCCTCTCCCAGAAAGATAGGTTATCAGGAGCCTAGCATGGAACAGCAGCCTGCAGTCTCCAGAAGGGTGATGAAGGAAGGCTACAGGAGAGGAAATGCACTGCCTTTTCCAGGTACATTTATCTTTGCAGGATCCATGAGACCACTACATGAAAATCTGTTTTCGGGGTATTGAGTTCCATACTGAAATAACACATTTCCCACTGACAACAAACAGAAACTCCAAGTAACTATTCAAGTCCAGACTTTAATAAAAACCATAACCCATCCAGCTGGAGGCGGGGAGGTGATGAGGAAGTATCAAGTTGGGGGAAGGAGAAACAGCCCCTTTTAATCACTCCCACCAGGGAACCCTCATCTCTCCTGGGCTATTTGAAATCCTTACTCCTTTATGCTAAAAAGTTACCTCCTCCAAAAATTCCTTTCTAATTATTCCATCCCTCCCCTCCTCTCCCCTGCCCCAATCTCATGTAACACTATCTGGTTCCTTTCTTATGGCATCCATCAATGAGAGTTCAGCATAGGAAACAGAAATCACTACAGGTATTTTAAGCAGAAAAAGATTTAATAGAGAGATATAAGGGCTTACAAAATTTGGGGCAGGGTTGCGGGAGGGAGCTCTAGAGGTGGGTCGGAAATTACTCCTGGAACTCCGCAAAACTGATCTACCATAAGAGCCACTACCTCCAAGGCCACCACTGAAACTATTGCATTCAAGAACCCACCACTGTATTCTAGGAATCAGTCAGCCACAATCACGATGCCACTGTAGTTACTGCTTCTCAAACCCCGTAAAGCTGGTGGCTGAGCACTGAATGGCAAGAAAACATATGCCCATGACCTTACTTTCATCAGAAAATAGCCAAAAAGAGCAGGAAAAAATCTTTTGTTTCACTCTCACCTTCTAAATTTTACCTAAATGCCTATAACTGACAAAGTCTAATTAAAAAAAAAAAAACAAAACAAAAACAAAAAAAAAAAACACTGGCTGCAAGGAATGCTAAGAAATCTAATTTTTAGTTATCTAGCCTCTTGGGTATAGTAAGGTACACTAGGAGGAGGACTGAGCAAGCCAGGCTCAGGTTCCGCCACAGGAATTTTCCACATAATACATCCTACGTTGTTTTTATGTGTCTGATCATCCCTCAGTTCCTGGAGGGCAGGAATCATGTATTTCCCATCCTCAAGGCTACAGACATTGCAAATGAGAGGTTCTTGCTAAGGATAGACAAATAATTAAATGATGGAACACTTCGACTGTTTTAATATTTTCTTACTTTGCTTTCTGATTTTTTTTTTCATGCATTTAAATGTTGTCTCTGCATTCAATCTCGCTGAAGGCAATGTTGGTTAAGTACTTCTTGGGTATGTCCCCAAGGGGTAGCCAGAGGGTTTGGTATGTAATTCTTCAATTAGTGGGTTGTGTCTTCAAAACCAATCCCCAGTCAGGGTTTTTTCCCCTAGAGATATTTATGCCCCATAAGACTCAACCAATAGGAAACTAACTTCCTGCAAAACTGTGAAACCAACAGATCTTTCTTACATGGTCTGTCATCCCATTTTGTCAGCAGACTACCTCCAAATTTATAGGCAAGTGCTCTCTACATGATTCTACATGGTTGCTAGGAAGGATTAAATAAGATAACATAGGTACCAGTACCTACCACATAGTTGGTACTCAGCAAATATTAGTTACTTCCTTTCACCAAGAACCTTTTCCTCCATAAAAAGTATACCTTTTTTGGGTTCCTGCTAGGAGACCACCTTATCTGATCCTTAAAGAGCTATTAATGGCTAATGTATTCATTATCTATCAAGGTGTGACAAATTGCCCCAGGTGTGACAAATTGCCCAAACTTAGCAACATAAAATGATAAACACTTATTATCTTCTTAATGTCTCTGGACAGGAATCCAGGAGGAGCGTAACTGGGTTTTTCTGGCTGAGGCTCTCTAATGAGACTGCAGTCAAGATGTCAGTCAGGGCTGCTGTCACCTGAAGGCTTGACTGGGGCTGGAAGATCCACTCTCAAAGTTGCTCACTTACATGACTGGCAAGTTGATGACAAGAGCTCTCAGTTCCCCTGTAAGGAACTCCATAAGGTTGCTTGTGTGTTGTCATAACATGGCAGTAGTTTCCCCCAGAGCAAGTGACACAAGAGTGCCTCTCAGTCCTTGAAACAACCAAAAGATTCTCTCCAATGCCTCCATTCTCTACTCCTACCCTACAGTGGGAACTGCTATGACCCCATTCCTGGGCATTAACAGTTACTTTCTGGTTTCCGTTAGAGTACGATGAATTTTTTCTTGTTCACTGTTGAATCCCCTGTGACTGGTACATAATAGGTGCTCACCAAATGCTTTTGAATGAACACTATCTGGTACAGGATGTGCTACAGAGAAATCGGTGCTTTAGAAAGATTAACCTTCCAAATATTTACTTCAGCAGATCCACTCTCATTAAATCCCTGATGGTTGGAGTCTTTAGCACTTGTGAACAACCCCAGAAAAGATGGGAGGAGAGAGGTGAAAACTGACACTTGTTGATACCCACTATATACAGTACACTGGGCCCTCTGTGTGTTGCCTTACAAGGCAGTTCTCACCATCCCTGCCTCATGGATTAGGAGGATTCTGTGCCCAACATGGCTCCGGAGTAAGTAGAAGAGCTGCAATTTGGCTCTTGGGTCCATGCTCTTTTTGTTCCAACTGCTATGACCGTCCCAGTGCGTTTTGCTCATCAACACTCACCCTCCTTTTAGAAAACATATCTTCAGAGATTTCACAACAAGCTCAATTTACTTTCCAGTGATGTCCAGACAAATTCCATCTTTTCAGAGTTTTGGCTGTTTAAATATAACCAACTTATCTGTCCCATTACCTCAGTCAAGCTTCAGAGGATTTAGACAACAAGCATCTTGGCAAATGCCTTCCAGCCACTTCCAGCATGCACACATCCCTTAATGCTCAACTAATGCAACTCTAAGTAGCTTCTTTGGGAAGTAGCTTCTTTGGGAATGTAATAAAAGCTCATTTTGTAAATCTGGTTAGGCGTGAGGGGGGCATGGAATAAAACTGGAATTTGCAAAGTTCTTCCTTCATGCCAGGTCCCCTCTGCATTTTCTCCTTGGGTAGCTGGTCCAGAGGATGTCTATTTCAAAGTCTAGCTGGTTTGCCAGGAGCCACAGGGCAATGGAAAAGAAGAGCCCTAGTGTTGCTTCTCAGGGAAGATTGTTGCTTCATCCTACACAGGATTCTGGGAGGAGGGGAAGAAGCCCCACCAGGGAGTCTTTGGAGGCTCACAGGCTGTTGCCCCCTTCAGAGTAGGGACAAATGGCTCAGGAGCATCCATCTGTCTCCCTGTCTCCCTGCTCCCATCTCCTCTTTAAGCTTGTTTGGCTTCCTTCTTGGCACATCCCTTCCTGCCATCACACCTACTGCTCCTGCACTGTGGCTTCATTTTCTCTCCTCTCCTCCTTTACCTCATTTTCTCCTTATTCTCCTTCCTTTCTTTCTTGTATCTATCTAAAACTTCCCAATCCTTTCACTCTTTCATTCCTTTGTGCCAATCATAACTACATTATTTCCCTTCTCACTACCTCCACAAAATGTCCCTTTCCACTCCAGGTGAGGCTTTTTATGTCTTTTCTTCTTTGGTAATGCACAGTTATTATTCAACTACTTATGGTTTTTACTAGAGCTCTCCATTAAGGCATCCACCACCCACTGCCAGCATTCCTCATTGGAGTTTATACCAAGACTCCATGAGGGTACCACAATTAAAGCCTCCTAAGTTTGGTTCACCTCAACCTAAGTCCAGAGGGCCCATGCTTCTGTTCCCATCAGGGTTGGGCAAATCAATAACCGATCTGTCTCTCCTCTCTATTCTCTTGTGTGAGTTTACAAAGAAAAGGTGAGCATTTCATTTAGCTATTTCAGTAACTGAGCAAGACTCCATTTCCAAAAGTGATACACTTTTATTTCTGAAATTGTGTACCACCTATAACTAGATTCCTCAGGAGCATGCCATTGCTTCAACCCTGAGCAGGCTGCTTAGGAAGCAGTGATTTAAATTCCACTGGCCAAGACACAAGCTGAAAAAGACTGAGGTGCTTGCCATTTCCTTTCATCTGGAGATGCAGGATGCAAATGGCATTTAATTAAAGTCATAAATCTAGTTTTTGTTTAGTTGGTTTTGCTGTTGCTAAATCTAATCTGATTTTGCTTGCTTACTGAATGCTTTGACCACTAAGCAAAAATTGTAAAATAAATGAAGATAGTTTCCAGCCCCTCTCCCACCATCCCCTCTCCCTTCTTATAGCTGTCTGCACCCCAGCACTGCCCCATTACACCCCTGAGAAGCCTGTGTGCAGACCTGAGTGAGCCCAGGAATCACCTAAGGTGTTATTCAAAATACAGATTCTGTTATGGGGGTGGGGCTGAGAGCCTGCATTTCTAACAAGCTCCCAGGTGAAGCTGATGCTGAACCCTCATTCACCTGGAGTAGCAAGGGCATAAAATGTGTGCAGAAAGAGCATAGACAGAAAGATCTAGGTCAGGGTTTCTCAATCCTGGCTGAACATTACCATTACCTAGGGAGCTTTTAAAAATTCCAGTGCCCGGGTTACACCAATTAAGTCAGAATCTCTGGGGAAGGGACCCGGTCATCAGCATTTTTTAAAGTCCCTAGATAAAGATGACTGTGTGCTGTCAAGATTGAGGATCTCAGTTCTCAGGGCTTCAAGGAAGGAGTGTTCACATCCACTGAACACTGAAGCTGAAAGGGAAGGGGAAGGCATTCTAGAAACAAGGCTGTAACTGAACTAAAAGGAACCCCTGTCTCCTGGTAGGTTTCAGCTCTTGTCAATAGACCAGCAGGAGGCATATGTTGGGAATGGTAGGCTTTGCAAAACTCTGTAATTCCAACACCCCATGGAATTC